>NC_000006.12:101131396-101282911 GCF_000001405.40 Homo sapiens
TCAGTCCAGGATACAGTTAGATGGTCAGAACTATTGTACCCTGAATACATTTTGAATGTAGAGCCATCAGGAATTTTTAATGGAAACCATCAAGGACTTTTTGGCATGTCAGCCTCATTTTAGTGTTGTCCATCACTGACTCCAAGTTTCTAATAATCAGCTGAGAAAACAATTATAATCCTTCTCAGCTGCTCAAGGCAGTACACTGAAAAATTCTTTGATGTATTTGACCTTACAGGTATGCTAGACTGAGGCAGAAGAGGCTTGAATATTGACTTCATCTTTTAAGATAACTCCCCAGGTAAGACATGATTCCAAGCAATGGAGGAAGAACTTCATCAGAAAATGAAGTAGTGGATATGTCAGCTGACAAGGGAGGGACACATAGGTGTGAATAAGAGGTTGGAGTTTAAAGTATTTTGTGTCTTCTGAAGCCTTTTATTTATACCTGTTCTAATTTATAGGGTCTTACTTTTTCTTCATCAATACCGTAACTTCCATATAAAAGGAAGTGGTGAAGCTATAACTTCCGTGGACGTAATTCAACAAATTACTGCTGGATGCAGTGGCTCACCCATTTTGGGAGGCCAAGGCAGGAGGATCACTTGAGTCTAGGAGTTTGATACCAGCCCAGGCAACATAGCAAGACTCCATCTCTAAAAAAAAAAAAAAATTAGCTGGACATGGTGGCATGCACCTGTAGTCTCAGTTACTTAGGAGGCTGGGGTGAGAGGATCACTTGAGCCTGGGTGGTTGAGTCTGCAGTGAGCCATGATCATGCCACTGCACTCCAACCTGGACAACATAGTGAGACGCTGTCTTAAAAAAAAAAGATAAAAAACCCACACAAATTACTTGCCCACCCCCAAAGTTTGGGCTTTTTGCCACCTCTGCCCTGAAGTTTAACAGTGAAGCAATTCTTTAGTACATTCACAGAAAGCCTCTGGGTATCAGTTTGTTCTTTTAGCCCAACATTTGAGGATATGAGCTTATCATGTCCTCTCTTATCTACTTAATGCCACTGAAAAAAGCACCACACCAGGTCTTCATGTTTTCATACTTTCTTTGTTGCAGTGTGGCCTTCTGCATCTTGCCTTCAATGCTGTGGCCCCTCCTTAGGACCAATTTTTGTTTTTCAGGTTTTCTAGTCACAAGCAATAAAACTAAACCAAATTTAAGCTGAAAATGAGTTGATTGGAAGAGAAATTATAGAAGCAATAGAAGTGCTGACGAATTAAGCTTAGAAATGGCAAGAGGTAAGGCCACTTGCAGTGGTAAACAGCCTAGATCATGCCTTAGAACAGCCTGAGTACTGCTTGAGGCTTCCCAGTCTCTGTTTGCTTATTGGAGGTGACATGGTTTTGGTCTAGGCCTCCAACATAGATTCCAGCCACTGAATGTTTGTATTACTCCTGCAGGACTGGAACTCCCTAGTACAAACATCCAATTGACAGATCTTAGGTCATGTATCTTTGATTTGGCTCTCTGAGGGCAAGGAGGGAGTTTCTGGGCCCTTCAGCCTATGCAATCAGAGCCCTCATAACATATGATGAGGGATTTTCTCCAACCAGAAAATTTTGGGGTACAGAGTAGGAAAACATGATAATAAAATAATGCAACTAGAAACATTTAAAAGGAAAAACATTTGTATAGAAATGCATAATGGTTTGCACCTGTCTTGCATTTGGCCTAATGGACTCACTCCATGCTCTATCTTCAGATACTTTTCTACTTAAAATGTTATTACTGTTGACTTAGCAATTGTTATGCACTGAATGTTTGTGTCTCCCCAAATTTATATGCACTGAATGTTTATGTCTCCCCAAAATTCATATGTTGGGATTTCATATGAAATCCTAATCCCCAATGTGATGGTATTAGGAGGTAGAGAGGTAATTTGGTCGTGGATCTGGAGTCCTCTTGAATAGGTTTAGTGCCCTTACAAAAGAGACCCCAGAGAGCTCTCTAGTCCTCTTCCTACCATGTGAGGATACAACAAGATGATGGCAGTCCTGCAGCCTGGAAGAGCGCCTTCACCAGAAACCGACCATGCTGGCACCCTGATATGAGACATCTGGCCTTCAGATCTTTGGGAAATAAATTTCTGTTGTTTATAAGCCACCCAGTCTATGATACTTTGTTATAGCAGCTGAACTAAGATAGAAATTTTGTAAAAATTAATTTTTATAAATCACAATAATCTTTTCCCCCTTTCTTTGCTCAATTTTCATTACTTCCAGTGCATAAACATCTATATTTTTCTTTTCCTTTCCTTTTTAGCTTCTTACTGACTTTCTATCATGTTTCTAAATAATTATTTTATCCAAAACATCATGTAGATATAGTTTTCCTTTCTTTTCCTATCACAAAAAATGCACTGGTGAGAACGTAAGTGAAGTCATGTATGATTTATTTATTTATTTATTTTTGAGACAGAGTCTCGCCCTGTCACCCAGGCTGGAGAGCAGTGGCACGATCTCGGCTCACTGCAACCTCCGCCTCTGACGTTCAAACGATTCTTCTGCCTCAGCCTCCCGAGTAGCTGGCATTACAGGTGTCCGCCACCATGTCCAGCTAATTTTTTTTGTATTTTTAGTAGAGACGGGATTTCACCATGTTGGCCAGGCTGCTCTCAAACTCCTGACCTCATGAACCGCCCTCCTCAGCCTCCCAAAGTGCTGGGATTACAGATGTGAGCCACCAAGCCTGGCTGTACATTTCATTTTAAATCCTACCTCTGCACCAACCCCTCTACCCAACCCCCTTAGCTTTACCACCATCACTTTTAACACTTTACCTCTCCCAGGTGTCCAGGGGGTTCCATGTATGTTGGAGATAGCAATGAACCTCAGAAAGGCTATGCAGTACAATGGCTCCGAATGTGTTATCTGGAGTCAAACTACTGTTATCAATTGTAGAATATAATAAAAATACCTTCTTCGTCTTATTTTTAAGAAGCTTACATGAGTTATTGCTTGTTATGTATTTAGAACAGTGTCTGTAACATAGTAAACACAGTATAGGTGTAAAGCTCTTATTATTATTATTAATTAGTGTTATCAAGGAACACTAAATTAATTAGTGTTCCTTGCCCCATTATTCTAGGGCCTCTTGTATAATTTCTAAAGTATTAAGATGATGAAATTATCATAATATGTTCATGGATTTAAATGGTTTAAGATCTTATTCCAATCCAGGCAATGTATCTCTATTTCAACACGAGAGCTATAAAGCCATTTAACCAAAAGAGATGTACATATATTTTGCTACTCTGGTGAAGATATTTTTTAAGAAAATGGGCCTTTGAGTTTTTTGATACTCAGTTGAGGTGACCACTCCACATTTAATGTCTAGAGTTTTTTTTCTCTTTAGATCTTTCAGTCAGGTATCTTTCCTACCCCCAGATGGCAACATTTTATTTTGAAAGTTTTTAAACATACAACGAAGTTGAACAATTTTATACTGAATGCCCTTATTCCTACCATTCCTACTATAGAGTCCTATAATTTGCACTTTCATTTTTTTTCCTTTCCTACTACAAATAATAGTGTCCATTGTTGTGTACATCACTAGATTTAGTTGTAGTAGGGAAGGAAGCAAAGAACACAGGCTTTGCCTTCGGAGAACCACATCTGAGTCCCTTTTCTTGGCTTCCAGTGGTATTCCTTGGGTTAATTTCTTAGCCTGCTAGAGTTTAGTTTCCTTGTCTGTAAAATCTGAGCAATAATATTGACTTTAAAGTGTTGCTGTGATGATTTCGCTTAATTGCATAATAGACACTTGGCAGGTGTTACATCTCTTCTTTTTTGTATTTTTGCATTATTTATTGTAGTCATTTTTGAAATAATTACATTCCAGATCAATGGCCTTTCTTTAGTGTTTTCCGTCTACCACATTCATAAAAAAATTGACACAAGTGATTCAAACAACCACGTGGGAAACTAGATTTTGTGGTAACTTATTGTGGGTCGATTCATTTTGATTGTCTACTTTTATGACTTTCATGTATTCTGTTTAGCCTTTTGGATCCTTCTCTGTCATTTTAAGTGAGAATATTTTATTGAGATAGTAATGTCTTCAAACACCTCTATTTTATTTTCTTGGCGTGCAATTGACATTTCTTTCTTTGCTTAAATGTTTGAATCATATTACCTTTTAACATATTAAGTTTTGGTATATTCTTTTTTTGTAACCTTTTCCAAATATTATTTTTTCTGTTTAAATATTTTTCTCTCATTTCTATATGTGTAATATGAGCTCGACATTACCTGAATGCCTATTTTCCTCCAATTCCGATTGCTCATTTTTGTTCCATCAATTCTTTGCAATGTTTCTTGATCTTATTTGTGATGTTTACAATTAGGAAACATTTAAGCTACTTTTCCGCCTGGCTCCTTTTTCCATTTGAAAAGACACAGGCATTTCTTTCTTCAATCAAGCTAATCCTTATGCATTTTTATATATTTTTCCTCTTGATTTTGTGGCACTTGGTACCATTCTGTTTTTTCCAACTCCTTCCATGTTTTCAAGCTACATTATTGAAATATGCTTATATTCACCAAAGTGCTTTCCCCCTTTTAAGTTCTTTATTTGTATTGTATTTGTATGCCCCTCATTTATCCAGTCTAGTGTTAACCTTAACTAATCTACTTTAAATTTTAATTTTTCTCCTTAAAACCACATTTCAGAAACAAACAATTGAATTTAAACAACTGTTTGGTAAGACATCATTATTAATAAGTTGTTATTTTCAATTTAACTTTTAATAAGTTCCTTTAAAAATGACTTGCTGTTTGATGAGTTCTAATTCATATGGTAGCTTATACTTTCACTTTTCCTTATGTATCTTATAAACATTTTAATAGTACCCAATGATAGATGTTTGGCTTGTACTTGTCAACCAAATAAGTATAGTTAACATTTCAATTATTTGGCATCATTAATTATAAGAAACAGCTGTGAATCCAACAGTGACTTAATAAAACCCGAGTTTGAGAAATGCAAAAAATATCCTATAAAATGTAAAGACGAAAACCTACTATGTGCAACAAAGCCCTCTCACGCTAGTACCCATATGAAACCCCATTATGTTCCTTGAGGTAAAACTCACAATTGTTGAGGGTGGGTAGGGTCCTAAGACTATGGCCAGAAGGAGTTTCTCACTTTCATACTAATCTGCTCTAAACTTCCAGTAATTAGTAAAAAAATTACCACTTAAGTATCCTTACCAGTTTATGGTTCAGTGGATTCTGTTTCATGTAAAAAGATCTTGCTGCCATTCTCTGTATTCACCCATCTCTCCAGATTTCAGGGGTGGCAGTTTGCCCTGCAGCCTCAATTCTCTGCTAGGTCAAGAAAAGTCATCAACTTTTGAGTTCATCCAGCTTCTTTTCTTGTTATAAGGTTTGGAGTGCTCACTTCTAAGCTTCCTGCATGTTGAACCTGATACTGGAAGTCCAGGATGTTTTCCAACAAAGACGCTAGAAGGGGATAGCTATATGAAACAAAAACCTTGATCCATACCTTGCACCAATTTCAAAAATCAACTAAAAATGGATCAGACACCTCAATGTAAAACCTAAAACTATAAAACTTCTGGAAGAAGTATAGAAGAAAATCTTTGTGACATCAGGTTGGGCAAAGTTTTCTTAGAAATGATATCAAAAACACGATCCATAAAAGAAAATTAGATCAATTTCACTTTATTAAAATAAAAAACACTTTTCTTCTTAAGACGTATGCAGTTTAGAAAAATCAAGACAAGCCGTAGCCTGAGTAAAATATTTTCACATCACATATCTTATAAATGACTAGTATCCAGATATAAGAATAACTCTCAAAATACAATAATAAAAAATTGAACTAACTGACTTACACCAAAAAGAGATGTGGATGGCAAATAAGCACATACAACAATTCTAAATATGATTTGTTATCAAGAAAGTGCAATTTAAATTCACAACAAGATGTCACTACATACCTATTAGAATGGTTAAAATACAGAGAGAAAACTGCTAGTACCAAGTGCTAGCTGAGATATGGGGCAACTGGAGCTCTTGTACATTGCTGATGGGAATGCAAAATAGTACAGCTACTGTGGAAAAGTTGGAGGTTTTTTATGAAGGTAAATGTATTTTTATCATAATGTTCAGCATTCCCACTCTTAGGTAATTTATTCAAGAGAAATTATAAAAATGTACACTAATGTTTATAGCAGCTTTGTCTGTAATGGCACCAAACAGGAAACAACCCAAATATCCTTTCGCTGGTGGATGGATACACAAACTGCAGTCCATTCATAAAATGGAATGCTACTCAGCAATGAGATAAAAAATGGACTATAGATATATGTAATGATATGAATGAATCTCAAACTTCTTTAGAACTGTATTATTTTACTCAACATAATCAACACTTTTGATAAATTAAATCATCATTTTGAAAGATTTTGTTTGTAACAATGGGACAGAATCAGAACAGTGGTTGTCAGGTAATGGGAGTAGAGGAAGAATTTGACCACAAAGAAGCACAAGGAGATTTTATGAGGTGATGGGCCTGTTTTGTATGTTGGTTTGGTGAGGGTTACAGAATTCTATGCAATTATCGGGATTCATAGAACTGACGGTAGAGATTTATAATTAAAAAGTGTACATTTTAAGTAAATCATATTTTAATAAATATGACTGAGAAAAATCAATAGACTATAATCTTTTAATTTATAGGAAACTATAAATTAAAAATTAAACTATAAAATTAAAATCAAGAAGTAGCAAAAAAATGTAAGTATAAAATACACATCATTTCCTACTTCTCATCTTCTTAATTTTCTATTATCTCTAGGGCAAAATATTTGGTACAGGTAATTCATGAGAATTTCTCTCCCTTTTCTAATGTCAGCAACCTTCATATTTAACGTATAACATTTATTAAAGAACTGTTAATATAGCATTTTGTAAAACTTTTTTATTGAGATTTTCAGTATCTTTTAATGGATATCATCTGCTGTATTTTATTGTATCTGAACAATATAATGGTGGCCTTACATGTTTCTCAAGGCTTATAATTTTAAATTAACCATAAAACTGGACATGCTTTATTCTCTGTGCTCACTATCTGCTATTTTGAGAAGGTACATCCACTTCTTTTGCCTCTGCTATTTTATTCATGAAGCATCGCTTTGGTGGTTCACATGTAGAATCTTTCAATCATGGCTGTTACCTAAGGATTTGGAAAGGCACTATAGAAACTGGTTGGGCTTTTAACATTTAATTATTTGACTCTCAAAATTTGTCATCCACTGGTATATCTTTCTTTAGGAAAAGAAAAATACATGTATCTGTTTAGTAGTTAAAGATTTATCAGTTGATTTGGAGTGCTTTGATCATTGAACAATTCCTCACCTATAGGTTTTGATGTAAAGAGCGACTGATTATCCTTACAATGTACTTGATCAGTTCTCATGAATTTCCTATCATGAGAGTAAACAAGCAGTAAACAAGCTAGAGTAGTTTATTAATCTAATCGAGTTTTTACAGTCCCATTGTATTAGTTTCTAGTACAATAAACTGAGCAATTTAAATAACAGAAATTTGTTGTCTCATAGTTCTGGAGGGTAGAAGTCGAAGATCAGGGGTTGGCAGAGCCACACTCCCTCTGAAGGTACAAGAGAAGAGTTAGTACGATGCCTCTTTCCTAGCCTCTTGGTTTGTGGCAGCAGAACTCTGATCTTCACATGGTGGGCTCCCAGTATGCATGTGTGTCTAAGTCTCCACTTTTTATAATGACACCAGATATAACTTACTCAAGTAATACTTCACTTTAAATAATTATATCTGCAAAGATCCTACTTTCAAATAAGGTCACATTCTAAGGTGCTGGGAGTTAGGACTTCAACATATGAATTTCATGGCAGAACTGAATCCATGACATCTGTATTTACATATGTGAATTGATGTTTGATGCCAGAGATAGAGGCTTCAGCCAAGACCAGCCACCTTTTCTGACATGATTTCTATAGCATGGTTGTATACCACTGTAAAAACTAATGAAAGAACATTAGAAGCAGACCACCCCACTGATTATAGTATTTAGAGGAGGTCACAAAGAAAACCCTTTGATTTTATATTTATTTCTTTTTTAATTAAGCTGTTTTTTTTTTTTTTTGAGATGGAGTCTCACACGGTCACTGGGCTGGAGTGCAGTGGCGCCATCTCGGCTCACTGCACCCTTGCCTTCCAGGTTCAAGTGATTCTTCTTGCCTCAGCCTCCCAAGTAGTTGGGATTACAGGTGCGCGCCACCATGCCTGGCTAATTTTTTTGTATTTTTAGTAGAGACGGGGGTTTCACTTTGTTGACCAGGCTGGTCGCGAACTCCTAACCTCGTGATCAGCCTGCCTTAGCCTCCCAAAGTGCTGGGATTACAGGTGTGAGCCACCACTCCTGGCCACTGTTCTTTAAGCAATTAAGGACAGATGTTTATCATGAAAGATTATAAGCCAATAATATATTTCAACTTTTTCTTTATTCCAATGAAATGATAAAAAGGATGAATTTATACCTTTAGAAAAGTATTCTGTAATAAAATAGTTTACTTTGTCCAAACTCCTTATCCTACCATGCAGTTATTATTAGTAGCTTCTGCTCCTTAACTACTTTCTCTTGTTTTCACAGCATGTTGTAGCCTTGGTCCTTAATTGCAAGAATTTGATAAATACACATAGGAAAAGAAATTTAGGAAAGCTCACTTGCTACATATAAAGTGTCAACCAAACTTCTGCACTCCTGCTTTGGTTGGCATTGCACTTTATTTCACTGATTTATTTTCCTTTGCTTTATGTATTCTTAAATGTAGTAGACATTATTTTCTCTTTATTCTCATTGAATATAATATTTACAACTGCCATTGTTTCTCTACTCATTTTTCTTTACTCTGAACAATTAGTTTTAAAAAATATTTTCTTTGTTTTCTGAACACGTATGTTGCAATTATCTGCACATCTGTCTTTTCTTTTTCTTTCAAAGTTTTGAAATCACAGGTAAAACCGAACACTGCTTTTGGTGACATTGTAACTTCATAGATAGGAATGAGTACTCTCCATGTTAGATCAAAACTGAGGGTTCAGGTAAGCTATTCTCAGAAGCTAGACACAAACAGGATCTTTTGCTGTTTCAGGTCTGGCCCTCAGGCAGCCAGAAAGTCACTGAAGTTCATTCAACTGAAATAGAAACCTCTCTGGGAAGTCACTGCTCCTGACATTCAATTAGGTCATTCAGGGTGACCCCCAGCAAAGGGAAGCTTTGTATTGCTTCTGTGTAAAACAGAAAAAGTAAATGAAAGCGAGTCTGCTTGAGGATTCTGAGGTTTTTAATCAAAGACCAAAATTGGTCTCTAGTCTTCTGGAGAACAAGAACCAGGCAATTTTTAATCTCATATGCTACCTAGTCCATTGTACTGTGAGCATTCTGTAAGGACCAGATCAAAAAATTAACCATTGCTACTTGAATTCATATCCTTCAGGATTATTGAATGCCTCATTCACATAAATCTTGTAGAAATCTACCATGGAGTTCTTTATTCAGGATCCTTACTAGCTTATGTATTGTTGTTTCTCTGCCAAGAAAGTGTTGATGAAGACTTCCTATAGTCATGAAGAAGAGATAGCGTTCCTACTCTCAAGAGGATATTACTGAAGTGATCAAAAATGCATGTTGGGGTTGGTGGAACAGGTTTTCAGATCATGCTTTTGGTAACACAATGACTTCCTGGAGATGTTTCAGGATAGTGAAACAGCAAAGTACTTTCCACCTAACAATTAAGATTTTAATTACCCAAGGACCTCATTCAGCATTTTATGATTTTATATAATGTATATTTTTATACATCACTTACCATTTTATATAATGGGATTCTGTATAATATATTATTTGAAAAAATAGCTGTTAAGATTATTTCAAACCACTTGGGTGGTGGAAGGGCAGGATGTCAGCAGTGTTCTGGTGTCAGCCATTCCCTCACCAGCTAAATAACCTCAGATAAGTCTTTTCAGCTCTTATTACTGAAAGGTTAGGTTCAGAAATGGGTCTAAGTTACTGAGAACAGTGATTTAGAAGAAAGAAGGAAAGGTGTGGGCAATAATATAAATGTTTATATCACATATATGCCTTAATATTTTGGTTATTACAACAAAAAGTAAGTAGAGGTGAGAAAAAAGTCTTCTAAATTTTTTTTGTAAAAGAAAGAGGTTGAACCCTGTGCCTTCCCAACTATATTGTGAGTTCCCTGAAGCATTTCTTTACTATTTTTATTACTTTATTTCTTTATCGTTTGCTGGTTCCCCATACGTGGCACATTGTAAGCACTCCACAAACTCTTATTTAATAAGTAATTGAATGAATTGGTGAATGAGCCAATGAAAAGACAAGCTCACCGTCTTATCTCTAAGACCCTCCCATAGTCTGTTTTGTTTTGTCAAATTGGCCATCAACAACCTGACTTTGGACAACATGGCTAATGTGAACAATGAAAGAGCTACACTGCAGCTTAGCTAAATGCAGATTTTTTCCTTTCCTGTTAGAAAGTTGAAAGTTCTGTTCTTTCTCTGTCCTGGATTTTGAGCAGCAATGACCTACTATATACATGAAGTAGCAAGTAGGCCAGCAGACACTACCCTTTTATCATGAGTCATAAAAGTGGACAGTTTGGATTTTTGACATTTAGTTTAGGCTTTGTGACAGAACTCCATCTCCAGCTTTCTACATGACATGTGGAAGAAAATTTAATACATCAAAGTCCCATATGTACTTGATTCCTTGCTGCATGTGATGTGCAGTAATAAAATGGATGAGGAAATTCTTTTTACTAGACCTAGAGGCAAAATTACAAATACAGACATAGAGAATGATACAAGTATGCGACTTCCAAAATTATACATGTTATATCAAGAGCCAGGGTCAAAAATATAGATGGACACCTTTATATAATGTAGGTGATCACGTTTTCCATAATTTTTGGCCAGTAGCCCAAAGGCTTAGAAATACATGAGTAGCTTCTGACACTATCATTAAAATTTAACTTTTCATTTAATGTCTCTTTAACAGAGCACTATGTACAAGATGGTTATATAAAAATGGGGCAAGATATGGGCTTTCTCCTCAAGAAGCTTATGAATCAATAGTGGGATGAAGATAAGAACACAAATAATTGTAATAAAAAAGTAAGAAAAGTACAATTTTTTTTGTAATTTTAGGTTTAGGGGTACATGTGTAGGTTTGTTATATAGCTAAACTGCATGTTGTGGGGATTTGGTATGTAGATTATTTCCTCACCCAGATAATGAGCATGGTACTTAATAGGTATTTTTGGATCCTCTCCCTCCTCCCATCCTCCACCCTCAAGAAGGTCTTGGTGTCTGTTGTTCCCCTCTTTGTGTTCATGTGTTCTCGTTGTTTAGTTCCCACTTACAATTGAGAACATATAGCATTTGGTATTTTGTTCCTGTGTTAGTTAGCTTAGGATATTCCAGCTGCATCCATGTTGCTGCAAAGGACATGATCTCATTTTTTTATGGCTGTGTAGTATTTCATGGTGTATATGTACCACATTTTCTTCATCCAGGCTACCATTGATGGGCATTTAGGTTGATTCCATGTCTTTGCTATTGGGAATATTCCTGCAATAAACATATGTGTGCATGTGTCTTTATGGTAGAGTGAATTATATTTCCTTAGGTATATACCCAGTAATGGGATTGCTGGGTTGAATGGTATTTCTGTTTTTATTTATTTGAGAAATTACCACACTGCTTTCCACAGAGGCTGAACTAATTTACACTTCCATCAGAAAAATTTACTTTTTGTCTGCAACCTTATCAGCATCTGTTATTTTTTGACATTTTAATAATGGCCATTCTGATGGGTGTGAGATGGCATCTCATTGTGGTTTTGATTTGCACTTCCTCTAATGATTAGTGATGTTGAGCATTTTTTCATATGCTTGTTGGCCACAAGTATGTCATCTTTTGAAAAGTGCCTGTTCCTGTCCTCTACCCACTTTTTAATGGAGTTGTTTGCTTTTTGCTTATAAATTTGTTTAAGGTCCTTATAGATTCTGGATATTAAACCTTTGTCAGGTACATGGTTTGCAGATATTTTGTTCCATTCTGTAGGTTGTCTGTTTACTCTGTTGATAGTTTCTTTTGCTGTGCAGAAGCTCTTTAGTTTAATTAGGTCCCATTTATCAATTTTTGCTTTTGTTGCAATTGCTTTTGACATCTTCATCATAAAATCTTTGCCAGGTCCTATGTCCAGAATGGTATTTCCTAGGTTTTCTTCCAGGGTTTTTATAGCTTTAGGTTTTACATTTAAGTCTTTATTCCATCTTGAGTTGATTAGTGTACATGATGTAAGGAAGGGGTCCAGTTCAATCTTCTGCATATGGCTAGCCAGTTATCCCAGCACCATTTATTGAATAGGGAGTCTCTTCTCCATTGCTTTTCTTTGTCAGCTTTGTTAAAGATTAGATGATTGTAGGTGTGTGGCATTATTTCTGGGTTCTCTATTATGTTCCAGTGGTTTATATGTCTGTTTTGCACCAAACTAGTTAAAGTAATTGAGATTTGTGAAAAGGATGGCATTAAGATGGGCATAAGGGATGGGATTTTGATTGGTGAGAAGTACAGGGGTGGAAGAATGAAGCGTGTGAGCAAAGCTAAATGGTGGGAACATGGTCCATATTTTGAAGGAATAGGGAGTAGTTGAAGGTAACTGAGATCTGAAGTACAGTTGGAGACTTGGTGGGAAATGAAATTAGAATGACACTTGAAGAAGGGTCTAAATATTAGGTGAAATATCCAGACTTAATTTCATTGGAAGTAGAGAGCCATTGAAAGAATTTGAGGAAAAGAAGAGTAGGTTTGGTGCTATAGTTAAAGAAACATGGTCTGGCAGAAATTAGGCTAGATTGAGATTAGAGGAGAGAAGATAAACTGTAAAGTTATTGCAATATTTTAGTACCTAGATTACTTAGAAAGGAGTGGGATTGCAGGGCAGAGATGTAAGAATTGTTACACAGAGTTCAAACAGAAAACAAGTGGTATACTCAATTTGGGTAATTTGGGAAAAGTTTAATAATGGAACTGTTTTTACAGCTGTCAACAGCATGGGAAAGTTACTGGGGATAGATGATGCAGTTCCTTGGATGAGTTAGAGCAGGTAGCATCACCACCCCTATGTCTGAAGTGGTGAGAAAGAAGCATTATCAGAACCCAGAAGGAAAGAATTGTGTGGGACAGAAAACCCTTTGCAGAGGGAGGCAGCTGGTTTATTGCAACCTCAGGGAAAATAGCCTGACTATTTTCTTCCCTCCTTTTGGTTTCTTGCTAGGACTTCCCCTTGGCCAGGCAAACTGGAAGCCAGAGGGCAAGAGGACTGTTGATGTCATCCACTTATGTCAGCCTCCCAGGGTGCAGAGTAGGGTGAAGGGTGGAGAATGATCTGGAGGGCTCATGAAAGCTATCCTGTGCAGTTATGGTTCAATGCAGGGCACTTCAGTTGAGATGCTAGGCAGAGTTGAAAATGCAGATTTAGAGCAGAGAGGAACATTGGGCTATGGGTGAGGAGGTTTAAACTGTTGAAGCTATGATAATGGATGGGATTATAGGGAAAGAGGCTATAGAGAAAGAGTAAGTTCCTAACATAGAGTTTTGAGGAAATGCTACATTTAGAAGAAAGAGAAATGAGGAGGAGACAGTAAGGAGGATAAGGAAGAATGGAAGAAAATGAAACTTGGAGCAGGCAATTTAATGGAAATCAAAGGGAGAGTTGGCATTAAGGAGGAGAAGGAGGCAGTAGACAAGATAAAGAAGCCCAAGGCAGAAAACATTTTTGAGAATAGATGGAGTAAAAATGTTGTTACTAGCTTTTTGCCAACTGAGGATAAGCAGTTGATTTTACCAGTGCTGACTTGGACTTCTGTTAGGGCTGTGTTCTGGAGCTGGGGAGATAGGAAAGAGATAGAAAATGATGATGGTTATAGTGAAGAAAGTAAGATGAGGAACAAGTAATTATAACCTCACTATTTCATTTAGTACTATTCCCCCCCATCCTCCTGTTTTTTTCCTTTCTTTTCTTCTTACTCCTTCACATTTACTAAGCATCCAGAATATTCTAGACAACTTACCTATATACAGCATCTCACTTATTCCTCAAAACAACCCAGTGAAGTAGGTATTATGCTCATCTTATCAAAGAAGATTGTAGAGAGGTAATGGATCTTGCCCATAGTCACACATTTAATAAGGGGTAGGCTCATTTTAAAAACCAGGACCAGGCCAGGCACAGTGTCTCTAGCCTGTAATCCCAGCACTTTGGGAGACCTAGGTGGGTGGATCACCTGAGGTCAGGAGTTTGAGACCAGCCTGGTCAACATAGTCTCTACTAAAAATAAAAAAAAATAGCCGGGTGTGGTGGCACACACCTGTAATTCCAGCTACTTGTGAGCCTGAGGCAGGAGAATCGCTTGAACCTGGGAGGCGGAGGTTGCAGTGAGCCGAGTTCACACCATTGCACTCCAGCCTGGGCAACAAGAGTGAAACTCCATCTCAAAACAAACAAACAAACAAACAAACAAACCCCAGGACCTTCAGACTCTAAGCTCTGCATTATTTTAACAGTATCAAGCACTGTATTTGACACACAGTAGTTACTTATCAGATAACTGAAGAAAAAATGAAGTGTGGCATAGAATGCTACATCAGAGACAGGCAATCTGGGTTTCAGTGCTAGCCTTGCTATCAAATACAATGTAATCTCCCTGTTAATAAAACTTGCTTTTAACTGCTGTGAGAATAATTAGGTCATTAAAACACTCTCCTTAAAGTTGTTGTATAAATATTAGATGAATCATGAATATTTTCTATAATGCAAATGTTGGGGTCAAATTAAATATCTTCTTTGTAAGTTGATTACAGTAAAATATCTTTATCATGTTAGCCATACTGATTTTGCCCCAGAAAATGGATGACATAATTCTAGATGTTTTATGATGTGCGATATTCTTTGTTCAATTTATGAAATGTAAATCAAAATATTGTCAATTACTCACAATGTGATCATAGAAAGTTGTTGTGAAATCAGTGACATCAAAGAGTTCAGGCCAGAAGAGAAAGCGGAATCTTGTGTGGTAAGGAATGATGGGAGCCCTCTGACCAATGCCCTCCCCAAAAAGGGAAAAATCACTGAATAGCATTCATTGTTCATTCTCTTTGTGGTTGAAAAATGAGAACTGAGCAATCTGGTCTGCTCTTAAAATATATGCCTTAAATAGGAAATGTCCATAGTTTTTTAAGCATCCCCGCCAACACAAATAACACAGCCTTCCATTCATGAACTCTTGCTATGCTGTTAAGAGGGGATAATCTGTCTGCCATGTAACATTTGGTAATAATTGTATATGATTTTTATACCAAATGCATTAGAATTACAGAAATTGTTTAATAAATATATTGGCCATTTTTAAAAAACTTGCGATTTAGCCAGTACACAGATTTTCTCATCTTTCCCCTTTAGCTCATTTTTCCTCAGATGATTCTTTCAGTTCTGTGTAGCTCTACATAGTGCTGTTCTTAGGCTACTTGGTAAATGTTGCACATAATTAACATCCACTCACACTTATAAGGTAGAAAAGTCACACGTTTCATTATTCTCACAGTACAATCAGAAAAATGATACTGAGAAATGTTAGTTGATTTGTTTAACATTGAGTTAAATGCAAGATTACCAGAGCCACAGAGAGACCCAGTGTCCAAATAACAAATTCAGGATTCTAGCATATACCAGTTGGTCAGATTGTGTTCAGAGAACTGAACTCTCTAGTTATAGAAATAAAATAATCTCCAAACCCACCTTTTGATATACCAATGCATGTGATAAAATTGACATGGCTATGAAGTTGAAAAGTCTGAGGTTGTCTTGGTCTCTTATCTCATTTTTGCGCTCATTTACAGACACTCTTAAAGGTAAATTTTAATTCTCTTCTGTTTCTCCTATTGCAAATCTCCTACTATCTTCAAATAAGTTTCTTCAGGGGAAGGATGAAGTGCTTCTTACATATTGCTAAAAACAAAGAGTTCAACATTACTTTAGAACTTTTGTTATGACAGATTTTGAGAGAAACATCAGGAGTCAAGTTTAAGTGAGTTTTTCAAGCCAGCAATGGTCATATATGATTAAAAGATGAGAATATAAAGAAAGTCTAAATGATTATGACAAAGTTAATGCAGTATTAAAATATCAAGGAAGGGGGAAAATTCTCTTTTGAAGTAGTAGACCCTAAATTCATTTCATGACAAAGGAATGCATTGACTTGATCAGAGATGTTAACATACACATTTAAGAATTTATTAAATGTTTGTTTTCTCCTGACTTCATAGTCTTCTAAATTCTCAACATGAATAACTTCTGTTATCAACTAACTTATTTATTCAGCAAAAATCATTTTTAAAGGGATTGTGTTAGAAGATTTTTTACTATTAAAATCCACAATTAGGCCGGGCGCGGTGGCTCACGCCTGTAATCCCAGCACTTTGGGAGGCCGAGGCGGGTGGATCATGAGGTCAGGAGATCGAGACCATCCTGGCTAACAAGGTGAAACCCCGTCTCTACTAAAAATACAAAAAATTAGCCGGGCGCGGTGGCGGGCGCCTGTAGTCCCAGCTACTCGGGAGGCTGAGGCAGGAGAATGGCGTGAACCCGGGACGCGGAGCTTGCAGTGAGCCGAGATTGCGCCACTGCAGTCCGCAGTCTGGCCTGGGCGACAGAGCGAGACTCCGTCTAAAAAAAAAAAAAAAAAAAAAAAAAAAAAAAAAAAAAAAAAAAAAATCCACAATTAATTAGCATAGTACAGCAAAAGAGGTATGGTCAATTGAGTGGTTATTTGGGATCTGGATAAAAATAAATTCAATCCTAAAAATATAAAAATAAACTCTAAGATAAGCATAGTGATATTACTTTTATTTTTGGGTGAGTCAATATAATTGTCTTAATATATCAAGCTCATTATATGTAAATGTAAATTGAATTAAAAAAGGAATGATTTCTCTCAGCTGTCATGCATTGTTTGAAAATAATCACAATTACCTGTTTGTTTGAAGCTGTTATTTAATGTGTTAAAAGGCAATTAAGTGCCATGTCCAATCACTTCATTATGCATTAGGATTCAATTCATGGTACCAGCTTCTTTGAACTAACAATCTATGAAGTTTTTGTGGAAAAGATGCAGTCCTGTGTAGATCTTGGTAAAAAGGACAGTGGAAGTGTAAAAAGGAAAAAAAAAGGTCAATAAATACTGAGATATCTGTAATTTTATCTGAAAGGTTCTTAATTTGGACACATAGAAAAGACACTACCTTGGGAGGACAGAGAGTCACAGATAAATTACTAATTACTTGTGGAACCTCAGGCTAGTCTGAATTTCTTTCGGCTTCAACTTTTCAAATCTGTAAAATAAAAGAAGTTGAGTGGGATTTCTAAATTTTGATTTGACTTTAAAATATCATATTGGGTTATATTTTCACTTGGAGTCAGTGATGTTGGACATTTTGATTATACCAGAAGCATCACTGTCTCATGCCTGATAATAAATCAGAAACACAGTCTGGGAAGCATTGATTAGATTCAGGACATACCCAGGTCTTGGGAAAGAAGAATGTCATTTAAACATATGAAGAAAGATAAACACTGGTAGCCTAGGACTTCCAGCACACAGGTATATGACCACTCTTGAGATAAATGAAATTACTCTTGCAAGTAAGATTCCTGGAACATCATGAAGTAAAGTTACTTTCTCAGAATAAAGCTTCCACAGATTAAAAAAAATTATCTATTCTTTGTAGAAACTGACATTATTATCTGTCTGAATGTTTTATCTCCTTTACTAGATCTGTATACTCCTGGAAAGACAAGCCAGTATCAAACATAACTTTGCATTCTATGTAATAAATGCCTTCTTTACTGCCTTCCACATAATAGGTGCTCAATAAATGCTACTGAATGAATGATGCTAATACAAGCAGTTTTAAAATTTGCATGAAGGAAAATTAGTGGGCTGGTATTATCATTAAGCTCAACCATCAACTGATATCCATTGGCTCAGTCTGTCTACTACTAATGTTAGCAGCTTAAATTAAATGTTGAAAATTTGGAAAAGGTGAAGAGAAAAAGAGGATTAATTTCAACCTTGTAGGAATAGGTCTTGGCCTTACTAACCCCAAAGAAAAAGTTATTTGAAGAAATAGGGCAAGGTTATATTCAATTATGTATGAAGGTATGCTATTATATGGACAAAGTTAAAATGTGGTTTATGTTAAATATTTTTGGAAATATTTGAGTTTCATGCAATATATTAACTACATTAAGTTGAAAATGTCTTACTAAAATCATGTGTTTTCAGCTCACAACATACCTTTATATATAGTATTTCATTTGTTCTCATTGAACTCTTACAAATATCCAGAGAGGCAGATAGATTAGATATTATCATTTTGATTTCAGGGAGAACAAATTGCAGCTCAGACAGGTTAAGCACTCTTCCTGGGAACACATGATCATTAAGTAGAACAAAGGTTTTCTGGCTTCCACTGTGGTGTCCTTTACAATAGGCCGAAATGAAATCACTCCCAGTCAAAAATTCTAGGTTCTCAAACAATATATAATACGTCCTTCAAACACAATTCAATATTGTAACTGAATTAGACTTTTGGATCATATGTAGTTAGTATTAACAATATTTTATATTTCTATGAACACATTAAAGGTACAAAACACATTTACAGCCATAATTATGAGGTCTCTTCATCTGAATTCATTTATCTAGAGTTCACTTGATTTGAACTTTCAAGGATAAAATTGTGACAACAGTACACATTGTTATGCTGATGGGTTAATTCCCTCCTTCTGCCTTTAAATGCTTTAAATTTGTCAAGGAAAGGCACTTTCTTTCCCTAGTATGCCTCCTAACTTTAAAAGGGGAGGCAGGAGCCCATTGAGAGAGGTGGCTTGGCTGCACAGCATGAGCTGTCCAAGCTAGCTGGAAACAGTAGCTCAGGCAAAAAGAAAAACTGAGAATTTCAATTGCCAGCATGATCCTCCAAATGGAATTAACAAGAAACAGATAAAGAACTATAGGCCATAATTATATTCTGTCAAAAGGATCTGTAGCTGCAGAATTTTCCTGAACTTCTAATCCAAAGAGAAGGAAACAACTAATAGTATAATTTTCCCCATATCATTTTTTTTTTTTTTTTTTGCCAATTTAGTAATTAGAAGAATTTGAGTGCACAAAGAAAATTACCTGCTAGGACAATGAAAACAAACTTCTGTCTACAAAGAGGAGGTGATGTGGATGGATTTTCCTCTTTCTAATTATACAATAATCCTTAAAGGGCATCTTACTGAAATAATTCACATAAGTAAAAACTTCAGTGAACATTTTTACAGTTCTTCCAATGTACAAGGCACTGATTGGGTGATCCAGTCTTGTCTCCAAAGAGTTTGCAGTCTGGTGGAGCATGCACATAATAAGTATTTGTAGTGATAGAAAATGACAAGCTTCATTACAGAGGTATAGGAAAGAAAGGATGGGAAGTCAAAAGCAAGAGAGATATTTCTAGTTGGAAGAAATTAAAGTACTTCTTATAGGAATTAGATTTTGACTAGGTTTAAATGATCATACATTTTGAATATGTGGACATGGTGGAGGCATTATTAAAATACTTTAGATGGAGGAAACAATATGAAAACAGGATCCAGTGTGTGGCACAAAAATGATAAAAGTATCATGGAATGTACATAGTTTAGTTTGACCAGAGCATAGTGCATGTGAAGATTAGTGGGAAAGTAAGAATGGAAAGATGGAAAGGTCAGCTACAGGCCAAAAGGAATTTGGATTTTATTATGTGGACAATGGAAAATTACTTGAGTTTCTCGAGCTGGGAATGAAATGATCGGAGCTGTGCTCCGGAAGATTAATCTGGTAGTGAATTGTAAAGTGTGCCAAAGGGAGAAGAGACTGGGAGGGGGAAATTCTAGTTAGGAGGTTATTGCAGAGCCTAGAAAAATGATAATGCATGCCTGATTTAGGAGAGGTAGTAGGAATGGAAATAAGTGGATGAGTAAAATGTGCTGTTCATCTGTCCAGCTACTATGTATTGGATACCCTGTGCTCTGCTAGGTTTTGAAATAATATTGGTGAGCACAGTAGAAATGGGCTTTGCTTTCAGAACGTTTATAATATAGTAGTGGGGAAAGAGATTATTTAAATAATCTCATAATTGCATCACTGTAAACACAGAATGGGCTATGGAGGGAAGACATTTGGCGCTGGAAGAATATGTAGTGGAAGATCTGATGCAGGCCTGTGGAGATATAGGGAAGGCTTCCCTGAAAAATAACATTTGCTAGGAAATCAGAATGGGTAAGAATCAAATATGAAAGAGGGAGAGGGAGTTGTGGAACAGCAGTCTAGGCAGAAGAATAAGCACATCAAAAGCCTCAAGGTGAACAAGAATCTGGTATTAAGTTCAAGGAACTTGGAGGAGATCAGTAAGGTTGAGTCAAAGAAAACAGGAGGGAGAGCAATGTGATATGAGAGTGAAGCTATAAATAGGGTCAAGATCATCCAAGGTCTGGTAGGTCAAATTAAGCCTACATTAGTCTTAGAGCACTGGACTTAAAACATGGGAGAGATATTTTTACTGTTGAGTTGTTTGATGAATGGATAAAGAAAATGTGGTATATATACACAATGGAATAGAATTTGGTCATGAAAAAGAATGAAATCATGTTATTTTCCTTTTTTTAAAATTTATTATTATTATACTTTAAGTTTTAGGGTACATGTGCACAATGTGCAGGTTAGTTACATATGTATACATGTGCCGTGCTGGCGTGCTGCACCCACTAACTCATCATCTAGCATTAGGTATATCTCCCAGTGCTATCGCTCCCCCCTCCCCCCACCCCACAACAGTCCCCAGAGTGTGATGTTCCCCTTCCTGTGTCCATGTGTTCTCATTGTTCAGTTCCCACCTATGAGTGAGAATATGCGGTGTTTGGTTTTTTGTTCTTGTGATAGTTTACTGAGAATGATGATTTCCAATTTCATCCATGTCCCTACAAAGGACGTGAACTCATCATTTTTTATGGCTGCATAGTATTCCATGGTGTATATGTGCCACATTTTCTTAATCCAGTCTATCATTGTTGGACATTTGGGTTGGTTCCAAGTCTTTGCTCTTGTGAATAATGCTGCAATAAACATACGTGTGCATGTGTCTTTATAGCAGCATGATTTATAGTCCTTCGGGTATATACCCAGTAATGGGATGGCTGGGTCAAATGGTATTTCTAGCTCTAGATCCCTGAGGAATCGCCACACTGACTTCCACAATGGTTGAACTAGTTTACAGTCCCACCAACAGTGTAAAAGTGTTCCTATTTCTCCACATCCTCTCCAGCACCTATTGTTTCCTGACTTTTTAATGATTGCCATTCTAACTGGTGTGAGATGGTATCTCATTGTGGTTTTGATTTGCATTTCTCTGATGGCCAGTGATGGTGAGCATTTTTTCATGTGTTTTTTGGCTGCATAAATGTCTTCTTTTGAGAAGTGTCTGTTCATATCCTTCACCCACTTTTTGATGGGGTTGTTTGTTTTTTTCTTGTAAATTTGTTTGAGTTCATTGTAGATTCTGGATATTAGCCCTTTGTCAGATGAGTAGGTTGCGAAAATTTTCTCCCATGTTGTAGGTTGCCTGTTCACTCTGATGGTAGTTTCTTTTGCTGTGCAGAAGCTCTTTAGTTTAATTAGATCCCATTTGTCAATTTTGGCTTCTGTTGCCATTGCTTTTGGTGTTTTAGACCTGAAGTCCTTGCCCATGCCTATGTCCTGAATGGTAATGCCTAGGTTTTCTTCTAGGGTTTTTATGGTTTTTGGTCTAACGTTTAAGTCTTTAATCCATCTTGAATTGATTTTTGTATAAGGTGTAAGGAAGGGACCCAGTTTCAGGTTTCTACATATGGCTAGCCAGTTTTCCCAGCACCATTTATTAAATAGGGAATCCTTTCCCCATTGCTTGTTTTTCTCAGGTTTGTCAAAGATCAGATAGTTGTAGATATGCAGTGTTATTTCTGAGGGCTCTGTTCTGTTCCATTGATCTATATGTCTGTTTTGGTACCAGTACCATGCTGTTTTGGTTACTGTAGCCTTGTAGTATAGTTTGAAGTCAGGTAGTGTGATGCCTTCAGCTTTGTTCTTTTGGCTTAGGATTGACTTGGCAACGCGGGCTCTTTTTTGGTTCCATATGAACTTTAAAGTAGTTTTTTCCAATTCTGTGAAGAAAGTCATTGGTAGCTTGATAGGGATGGCATTGAATCTGTAAATTACCTTGGGCAGTATGGCCATTTTCACAATATTGATTCTTCCTACCCATGAGCATGGAATGTTCTTCCATTTGTTTGTATCCTCTTTTATTTCATTGAGCAGTGGTTTGTAGTTCTCCTTGAAGAGGTCCTTCACGTCCCTTGTAAGTTGGATTCCTAAGTATTTTATTCTCTTTGAAGCAATTGTGTATGGGAGTTCACTCATGATTTGGCTCTCTGTTTGTTATTGGTGTATAAGAATGCTTGTGATTTTTGTGCATTGATTTTGTATCCTGAGACTTTGCTGAAGTTGCTTATTAGCTGAAGGAGATTTTGGACTGAGACAATGGGGTTTTCTAAATATACAATCATGTCGTCTGCAAACAGGGACAATTTGACTTCCTCTTTTCCTAATTGAATACCCTTTATTTCCTTCTCCTGCCTAATTGCCCTGGCCAGAACTTCCAACACTATGTTGAATAGGAGTGGTGAGAGAGGGCATCCCTGTCCTGTGCCATTTTCAAAGGGAATGCTTCCAGTTTTTGCCCATTCAGTATGATATTGCCTGTGGGTTTGTCATAGATAGCTCTTATTATTTTGAGATACGTCCCATCAATACATAATTTATTGAGAGTTTTTAGCATGAAGCCTTGTTGAATTTTGTCAAAGGCCTTTTCTGCATCTATTGAGATAATCATGTGGTTTTTGTCTTTGGTTCTGTTTATATTCTGGATTACATTTATTGATTTGCATATATTGAACCAGCCTTGCATCCCAGGGATGAAGCCCACTTGATCATGGTGGATAAGCTTTTTGATGTGCTGCTGGATTCGGCTTCCCAGTATTTTATTGAGGATTTTTGCTTCAATGTTCATCAAGGATATTGGTCTAAAATTCTCTTTTTTGGTTGTGTCTCTGCCCGGCTTTGGTATCAGGATGATGCTGCCTCATAAAATGAGTTAGGGAGGATTCCCTCTTTTTCTATTGATTGGAATAGTTTCAGAAGGAATGGTACCAGTTCCTCCTTGTACCTCTGGTAGAATTCGGCTGTGAATCCATCTGGTCCTGGACTCTTTTTGGTTGGTAAGCTATTGATTATTGCCACAATTTCAGCTCCTGTTATTGGTCTATTCAGAGATTCAACTTCTTCCTGGTTTAGTCTTGGGAGGGTGTATGTGTTAAGGAATTTATCCATTTCTTCTAGATTTTCTAGTTTATTTGTGTAGAGGTGTTTGTAGTATTCTCTGATGGTAGTTTGTATTTCTGTGGGATTGGTGGTGATATCCCCTTTATCATTTTTTATTGCGTCTATTTGATTCTTCTCTTTTTTTTTTCTTTATTAGTCTTGCTAGCGGTCTATCAATTTTGTTGATCCTTTCAAAAAACCAGCTCCTGGATTCATTAATTTTTTGGAGGTTTTTTTTGTGTCTCTATTTCCTTCAGTTCTGCTCTGATTTTAGTTGTTTCTTGCCTTCTGCTAGCTTTTGAATGTGTTTGCTCTCGCTTTTCTAGTTCTTTTAATTGTGATGTTAGGGTGTCAATTTTGGATCTTTCCTGCTTTCTCTTGTGGGCATTTAGTGCTATAAATTTCCCTCTACACACTGCTTTAAATGTGTCCCAGAGATTCTGGTATGTTGTGTCTTTGTTCTCGTTGGTTTCAAAGAACATCTTTATTTCTGCCTTCATTTCGTTATGTACCCAGTAGTCATTCAGGAGCAGGTTGTTCAGTTTCCATGTAGTTGAGCGGTTTTGAGTGAGATTCTTAATTCTGAGTTCTAGTTTGATTGCACTGCTGCCTGAGAGACAGTTTGTTATAATTTCTGTTCTTTTACATTTGCTGAGGAGAGCTTTACTTCCAAGTATGTGGTAAATTTTGGAATAGGTGTGGTGTGGTGCTGAAAAAAATGTATATTCTGTTGATTTGCGGTGGAGAGTTCTGTAGATGTCTATTAGGTCCTCTTGGTGCAGAGCTGAATTCAATTCCTGGGTATCCTTGTTAACTTTCTGTCTCGTTGATCTGTCTAATGTTGACAGTGGGGTATTAAAGTCTCCCATTATTATTGTGTGGGAGTCTAAGTCTCTTTGTAGGTCACTCAGGACTTGCTTTATGAATCTGGGTGCTCCTGTATTCAGTGCATATATATTTAGGATAGTTAGCTCTTCTTGTTGAATTGGTCCCTTTACCATTATGTAATGGCCTTCTTTGTCTCTTTTGATCTTTGTTGGTTTAAAGTCTGTTTTATCAGAGACTAGGATTGCAACCCCTGCCTTTTTTTGTTTTCCATTGGCTTGGTAGATCTTCCTCCATCCTTTTATTTTGAGCCTATGTGTGTCCCTGCACATGAGATGGGTTTCCTGAATACAGCACACTGATGGGTCTTGACTCTTTATCCAATTTGCCAGTCTGTGTCTTTTAATTGGAGCATTTAGTCCATTTACATTTAAAGTTAATATTGTTATGTGTGAATTTGATCCTGTCATTATGATGTTAGCTGGTGATTTTGCTCATTAGTTGATGCAGTTTCTTCCTAGTCTCGATGGTCTTTACATTTTGGCATGATTTTGCAGCGGCTGGTACCAGTTTTTCCTTTCCATGTTTAGCACTTCCTTCAGGAGCTCTTGTAGGGCAGGCCTGGTGGTGACAAAATCTCTTAGCATTTGCTTGTCTGTAAAGTATTTTATTTCTTCTTCACTTATGAAGCTTAGTTTGGATGGATATGAAATTCTGGGTTGAAAATTCTTTTCTTTAAGAATGTTGAATATTGGCCCCCACTCTCTTCTGGCTTGTAGAGTTTCTGCCGAGAGATCCACTGTTAGTCTGTTGGGCTTCCCTTTGTGGGTAACCCGATCTTTCTCTCTGGCTGCCCTTAACATTTTTTCCTTCATTTCAAGTTTGGTGAATCTGACAATTATGTGTCTTGGACTTGCTCTTCTCGAGGAGTATCTTTGTGGTGTTCTCTGTATTTCCTGAATCTGAATATTGGCCTGCCTTGCTAGATTGGGGAAGTTCTCCTGGATAATATCCTGCAGAGTGTTTTCCAACTTGGTTCCATTCTCCCCATCACTTTCAGGTACACCAATCAGACGTAGATTTGGTCTTTTCACATAGTCCCATATTTCTTGGAGGCTTTGCTCATTTCTTTTTATTCTTTTTTCTCTAAACTTCCCTTCTCGCTTCATTTCATTCACTTCATCTTCCATCACTGATACCCTGTCTTCCAGTTGATCACATCGGCTCCTGAGGCTTCTGCATTCTTCACGTAGTTCTCGAGCCTTGGTTTTCAGCTCCATCAGCTCCTTTAAGCACTTCTCTGTATTGGTTATTCTAATTATACATTCTTCTAAACTTTTTTCAAAGTTTTCAACTTCTTTGCCTTTGGTTTGAATGTCCTCCCATAGCTTGGAGTAATTTGATCGTCTGAAGCCTTCTTCTCTCAGCTTGTCAAAGTCATTCTCCATCCAGCTTTGTTCTGTGCTGGTGAGGAACTGTGATCCTTTGGAGGAGGAGAGACGCTCTGCTTTTTAGAGTTTCCAGTTTTTCTGCTCTGTTTTTTCCCCATCTTTGTGGTTTTATCTACTTTTGGTCTTTGATGATGTACAGATGGGTTTTTGGTGTGGATGTCCTTTCTGTTTGTTAGTTTTCCTTCTAACAGGCAGGACCCTCAGCTGCAGGTCTGTTGGAGTACCCGGCCATGTGAGGTGTCAGTCTGCCCATGCTGGGGGGTGCCTCCCAGTTAGGCTGCTCAGGGGTCATTGGTCAGGGACCCACTTGAGGAGGCAGTCTGCCCGTTCTCAGATCTCCAGCTTCATGCTGGGAGAACCACTGCTCTCTTCAAAGCTGTCAGACAGGGACATTTAAGTCTGCAGAGGTTACTGCTGTCTTTTTGTTTGTCTGTGCCCTGCCCCCAGAGGTGAAGCCTACAGAGGCAGGCAGGCCTCCTTGAGCTGTGGTGGGCTCCACCCAGTTCGAACTTTCCGGTTGCTTTGTTTACCTAAGCAAGCCTGGGCAATGGTGGGTGCCCCTCACGCAGCCTTGCTGCCGCCTTGCAGTTTGATCTCAGACTGCCGTGCTAGCAATCAGCAAGACTCCGTGGGCGTAGGACCCTCCAAGCCTTGTGCGGGATATAATCTCCTGGTGCACCATTTTTTAAGCCCATCAGAAAAGCGCAGTATTCTTGTGGGAGTGACTCGATTTTCCAGGTGCCGTCTGTCACCTCTTTCTTTGACTAGGAAAGGGAACTCTCTGACCCCTTGCGCTTCCTGAGTGAGGCAATGCCTCGCCGTGCTTCGGCTCGCAAATGGTGCGCGCACCCACTGACCTGCGCCCACTGTCTGGCACTCCCTAGTGAGATGAACCCGGTACCTCAGATGGAAATGCAGAAATCACCCGTCTTCTGTGTTGCTCACGCTGGGAGCTGTAGACCAGAGCTGTTCCTATTCGGCCATCTTGGCTCCACCCCACGAAATCATTTTATTTTCAACAACATGGATGGAACTGGAGGTCATTATGTTAAGTGAAATAAGCCAGGTACAGAAAGACAAATATCACAAGTTCTCACTCATGTGTAGGAGCTTAAAAAGTTGATCAATGGAGATAGAGAAAAGAATGAGGGATACCAGAGGCTGAGAAGGGCCTGTGGATGGTGAGGGAGTGGGTAAAGAGGGCTGGTTAATGGGTACAAAAATATAGTTACATTGAAATAAGCTATAATGTTTGATAGCAGACTATAGTTAATAACAATATTTTGTACATTCAAAATAGCTAGAAGAGAGGACTTGAAATGTTATCAGCACATAGAAATGATAAGGTGATAGATACCCTAAACATCCTGACTACATCATTACACATTTTATGCATGTAGCAAATTATCACATGTACCCCACAAATATGTACAAATATCATGTATCAGTAAAAAACGTGGGAGATATAGTTGATTGTATTCAAACTGATTACTCTGACATGTATGGAGAATGATTTTGAGACAGGCAAAATTTGATCTTGGGAGACCAATTAAGAGGCTACTACAATGGTCCAGGTAGGATGTAATAGTAGGTTGAACTAAATTAGTTGCAGGGGAAGAGAGAGAAGTAAATTATGTAAGATTTATTGAAATACTCATTGTAGAATTAGAGAAAGTGACTCCTTTGGTTCCTTTGTTGATTCATTAAACCATTAAAAAATTATGGGGGAAATGATTATTTTGGTTTTAAGAAAACTGAACTTAAAATTGGCTTTGAGTCATCTAAGTTGAGAAATCTGGTAGGTAGTTGAATACACAGGTCTGGAGCTGGAGATAATTTGGGAATCATCAGATGTATTATAACATGAGCAAGATAAAATCCCAGGCAGATCTATACATGGCTAATATATCTATAGAGTACAAAGAGAAGAGGGACTAAGCCTGATACTTGAAAATATCAATATTTAATGGCCAACTTAGGGAGAGTGAGCCAGTAGAGGAGCTAGATAAGGAAGAGCCAGAGACTTTTGAAGAAAAACTAAGTGAGGGGCATCATGGGAGCAAAGGAAGGAGAATGTTTCAAAGGGAAGGGAGTGATCCACGGTAGTAAGTACTGTGTGTGGTCAAGTACAGAGAGGTCAAATAAGAAAAACACTGAAAATATCCAGTGGATTAGGTACTCAGATGCCATTGGGGACCTTAGAGTGAGATACTTCAGTGATGTGATTGGGTTACAGTGGAGCAAAATTCGATTGGAGAGGTTTGAAGAGAAATGAAGTCAACAGTAAGCATGGAAAACGAAGTTTGAGTATGCAGTAGATGAGATAAGGTGGTACTAGAAAGAGAAATGAAGTAAAGATTCTTTAAAGTAGAGTTGCCTCCTTCAGAAAATAATGAGTCACTTTGTGATAAATGTTTTAAATGTATGATAATGTCCAAACACAGAAAAGTAAAATCTTGTGAAAGCAAAGTAAGCAAATAGCCTATTTATGAGGTATGAGGTAGTGAATATAATTGAAGATTAAATTTTATTCAGTACTTTCTGGAAGCCAGTACAAATAAGGAAAGACTGTGGATCAAATAAGCCTCATTATTCAATATAATGCCCCCATATATCCATATAAGCCTCATTATCCAATAACAATAATCAAACTAGACAATATTAATGAATATTACACATGTAGAATCTCATTTAGTCCTCATTAGAGCTCATTAAGTAGTTATTACTGTAACTTTAATTTCCCAAATGCAGACACCTGGGCTAAATAGGGTAAGTAGCTTGGCTAAGATCACTAAGGTAATAAGTGGCAGAGAGATGCTTAGAACAAACTGGGCACTCTTGCTCAGAGCCCACACTCTCACAACCATGCTACACTGCCTTCATTTATACTGCTTCTTTAGGGAAGACAAAGTTCCTTCTGGCACTAAATTCCAAAAGGAATTCATCATATGGGATCTTATGTAAGGGACATTGAACAACATGATGAAGATTGTGTGTATGCTTTGAGCAGCTACATTAGCCATTGATTTTTTTGACATCAATGAATGTCCCAGGTGGGTTGGAACTTTTAGCAGCTACTTCCTGGTTCATGCCTGAAGAACCAGCTGATGGCAGCTGCAGCTCCCCTCTGTCCTACTAAGGGAGTTTGTATAGGTTCTGCTTCCCACCCTCAACTTTAAAGCCCTTGCTCACCTGTTTATAGGATTTTCAGCCTTGTCTCCTGTAAAATGCTTCCCCTCTGCCAAGCTTCTTAGAATTACTGGTCTATTGAGATGGTCAGAATGTCTCTTTTTGCTTTTATAAATTACAAAAGTAATATATGTTTGTTATATAAAATTTGGACACTTCAGACAAATTAAAAAAAATCAAAGATATTTGTAATCCTTTTACCCCTACATAACCATTGGTAGCATTAAACATTCTTACTGTATTTGTTTTCTGGATTTACATATGTTTGACAAGTGTCTTTTAATTTAGGCTCTGGACTACATTCTTGTCAATATTTACACAAATAAAATAACATTACAATGTTTTATAAGATGCTTTTTTGCTTATATATTTTGAATAATTTTCCATGTCATTAAATATTTCTCTACAATATATTTTGAAAAAGCTTAATAATATTTCATTAGAAAGGCAAACATTCTTATTTACCTAATTCTACATTGTTGGACATCTAGGTTTTCTTCTTGTTTTGGCAGTTATAGATAATACTTTTGTGAACAAAATTATACATAACTTTCTGTGCATAGGTCTAATTTTTTTTCTTAGGAAAATTCCTAGAAAGTAGGTTGCTGTGTTAAAATTAATTAAAAATGGGCTTTTCTTCAGAGTACTGTGTCTTAGATTAAATATAAATGCATATAGTAAATAGCACAGTGCTTTGCACTTAATAGATGCTCAGTAAATGATGATGATTATTAGTCAAGGAAAGCAAACCAAAATTTATTATTGAGCTTATGGGGGATATTAATATCAAATGGGAATAATTTTTTAAAGTAATATCTTTACTACCTAATTTTCTTACACAATTTCTCTGTTTCTTTATTGTATTCCCATATGAAAGTAATAATGAAGAACACTTTTTGGAGCTTTTTAATTTGGCAAGCACTGAACCAAGCATTTTTCTGTGCAACATGTCATTCATTTTTATGCAATAGGCAGTTATTATACCCTTTTTATAGATGAGGAAATTGAGACTGGCAGATGTTATTTATGTCCAAAGTCACATAGATTGTAACTGGCAGAGCCAGGCTTCAAAGCAGGCACTCTAATGCTAGAGTCTGCCCATTTTACCACTGCTCTGAGATGAGAGAGAAGGAAAGTAATATGAATATAGGATAATAATTTGCAAATTTATTTCCTGTTAACTGAAAAACCCAATGTTGACTTCAAAGTTAGGCAGTAACAGTTTATCTATGACATGCCAAGTAATCTTTCTGTGTTTTCTCCCCAACCCCACCTTTTAAAAAACTCATCCCTAGCTTTCTCACATTTTTCCTCCATTACTGCTAACAAATCTATTCTTATGAATGGGTCTAATAAGTCATTTAAAATTTGCATGTGTTTGCAATTGTATTTTAATAGGACCTAACATTTTAAATTCACTCATACAAGTCTGAATAAGGCATTTTAAACCTTAGTAAACTTGTGGGAAAGGAAATTTAAGGGGCAGAGGAGACTTTCTGAAAGGACAGTAGTTGGCAGCCATAAACACTGCCTACTCAGAACACCAGCCTTTAATCTTGGGCTCATTTCTCTCTCTCTTTCCTCACCTTCTTCCCTGACTTCTTCCCTCAGCTATTTCTTGAGAGCAATTTAGAGAACGTATCTTTAGGAAAGTAATAAAAATGAATGCATCAGTGCTTTTGGAAGGGAATAAAGTGACTGAAAGTGATGTTTATATTCATTACTTTCTGTTCCTTCAAGCTTTTGGTTTTTAGCTTCAGACTTTTGATCCACAGGAAAGGCATTGTACTAGGCTGGCTCAGGTGAGGAATAATGGAGACAGACAACAGCAATGGGAGCACAGGGGCGAAGCAGCTACAAGTATTAGTAATCTTCACAATGTGTTAGTCTTAACTCTGTGCTGGCACATTGTGATTCACATGTAGACTATTCTTAATGGAAGGATCGCCTTGAATTAAAGGAGAATGTTTAAGAAAATGATGGATACACAAGATTTCTTCCCTCCTGCCAGCTGTGAAACTGATTGATCTTAAAGTTTTTGCCATGGTTATTATCTCAAGGAGAGAGAAATGCGTGTAGGAGTGGAAATTATTCAAGGATATCATCTTTCTTGATTTTCTCATTTCCTTCTCAAGTGGGTGGAAGATAATTTTGTGAGGTTCAAAGATATGCGAGTGAATCCTTGGTAATGTCAAAAAACATCCATGGACCATCTAAACCAACTTTTGAATTCTAGTATAACCAATCATCCAATGAACCCAAGGAGCTTCACTGGACAGAGGGGTCAAGCTGACAGTTTTGAGATGTTATCAGTAAAGGTTTTCTTCAAAATTTTATAAACAAATAACTGCAGTTTACTCTGCAGTTATTAGATTAGGCTCTGCAATAACATAAACATCATGATACATTTATGAACATATGTTAAAAATTCACTATTTCTGTGCTATATTTTGAGATCATGGATCTAACCAACTGAGCTAATTGGCCCAGGCTCATCACTGATTTTTCAGGGAAGGAAGGTGGTTGTTAAAGAGAGGCTGAATTAAATTCTTGTTTCTGTCCTTTACCCTTTACAAGGGTACCATGTTCCACTTAGAGCCCCACTTTTGTATATTAGTTTGTAGAATTGGAGAACTTAGGGGGAAGTAGACTTGCTTCCTTTTTTCACCTCCATAACAGATGAACCAAGAGGAAGTAAAGTTCTTTCAATTCCAACTGTATAGTGTTTATATTCCCATTTTGAACAACTGTGTTCACTTTTGAAGAACGTAAATCAAAAGAAGGAGTGAAGTGATTGGCATCTCTAAAATGTGAATAGTAAAGCTTGCTCTTATTGCTTTACAAGTGATCTTCCAGGTGTAAAGTCTACCTCCTCCATTCACTCCCACCCTCTGAAACCTGTAATTACAGTTGCCCTAAAGAAGCACTCCATTCTTAATCTCATTATCACAGTGGGGCTGGGACTGATGTTCGGTTTATACAAAATAGTGAGGTCTAATATGAGCCTTAGAGTCAAGAAATCCTTTCAGTTCTCTGATATGGTTTTATTAGGCAGATTTTGGGGAATTTTTGAAAAGATATGAAATTTCAGGGAAACCAAGCTTCTAGAACAAAGTATTTGCATGCAAAAAAAGTATAGTGTAAAACAAAAGAAAATTTAAAATGGTGTAGAAATGAAGATCTTCCAAGTTCAGTAAAGCTGTTTGAACCTCCTCTACTGACACCCACACAGATCCTTGACTCTTGAGTGTATCCATCCACGTCCCAGCCTGGACACATGGAAATATGTTTGTAAATTCTTGCCAAGCAAAAGCAGGAGAAAGGAGCCATCTGGTGTGGGAGGTGCATACCGGTTAAGTGTATCAGGAAGCAGGTGGCTGAGCTGCAGGAGGTTTCCAGGCTGAGAACTAGAAAAACTGCAGACTTCATTGGTGTGATGGACACTGAGGCATCAAAACAAGAGAAAGAAGCTTACTGAACTGGGAGAAAGAATTTAAGAAGGAGAAACGGCTCCTTTTGCTTTGTTTTCACTTTGGCTAGCATTCAGTTCCATTCTGCAAGCATTTATTGAGTGCCTACCGCATATAAGACACTGCGTCTTTTGGGAAATAAATAGGAAGAAATGTCATGGAAGAGAAGGAAGAGTAATTCTTTAGGGAAGAAACAATTCTAATGGGCATGGTACCTCATAACTCCCTAAATACCTGTGAGACCACGGCAGGCACTGTGCAAAGTCATTTTGAAACTGTTTTTCTTCTCTTCCAGGAGGTAACAACGTAAATACAAGACTCAAACTACATTGCAGGATTGTTTTAGAAAGATGGATATTCACTGTATTTTCAACACATATGTATTCTCTCAGGCATGAACTCTCTAACTCCCTATCTCTCTCTCTCTCTCTCTCTCACATCCCTCCTTCTCAAATATAATTTATTTTAACCTTTTAAAATTTTGTTGCTGAAGGCCTGTGAAAGATAAGGTTACAACAACAGCACAGGATAAATATAGAAAATTTGTAAATTTATATTTTTCTATAACTATAGAAAAAATTAATTGGAATGGGAAATCCCTTTATTTAATGAATGAAGAAATCAAAGTTCAGAGAAATTAAATGACTTCCCCAAGGTCATACAACTCAGTAGAGGTAAAATTGGGGTAAATTATTTCACATGCTCTTTAGAGGTTATAAAATGACAATATATTGCCTCTTGAATATGAGAAAACAAACTACATTTTATTGGAACATGTGGGTGAGCTCCATCTCACTAAGGCTCGACCTATTCCATTCTTGCCAGCATTGTTGCCCTTCTGCTATACATACGCTTTTCATAAATTAATCATTATTTTTGAAAATATGTGTGACTTTTATTCAATAGTTATTCAGTGAAGCTTTAGCTTGTTTTTTGTTTGTTGTTTCACATTCTGCTATTAGATTACTTTTTTGATTATTTTCTAAATTAGCTATTTACTTACAGCTAAGCTTTCTTAAAGTACATTTTGGCTGAGCCTGTAACATTAGGATTATTACAGGTTAGTGTGAAAATACCTTGTGATAGATTATCTTTGCACAATATTCTCCCAAAATATAGCATCATGCCTTAGCTGCAAATCACTTAATTCCTAGGCTATCTCACACAATGAGTTATCCTCAGCTCTTGGGAAGTGCTACTTTAAAGAAAATCAGAAAGAAACAGTATTCTTGACTATGTTTCTCAGGAAAGAATCTCCTCTATTCAAATCTATATTTTTTTAGTATAGAAGCTTCAAATTTTTAAAAATGATTTATGTATGGTGAGCTGGGGGGAGATACTAGAGGACATATGTTTTTATGCGATGGAGAAAATGTTTATACTTGGTTTTGAAGATGATTGTAAAATATGTTTTTTCTTCTTACAATAGTAGAGTTTTATTAGCAAAATGTGACAGAAACCCTAAGGAGATGTAATCAATGTTTCAAGAAATATTTAATTAATTATAACTTAGAAAAGATCTGCTCTTGCTTTGTATTTTATTTATAACTTGTTATTACAAAGACACATTAGAAGAAACACTCTTTTCTGGCAAAACACTGGGTAACTATAATGATATGAAGACACTGTCTTCCTGATATGATATATTAATAAAGGGCATGTAGTGCCCCGGTGAAAATAATGAAGTTTGTTTCGGTTGCCTAACCCTTCCTGTTCTTTTGCTCTGTTCATTACAACTTTGCTTTGGGTCTACCAACCAAAGGATAGAATTCTTTATACATAGGTACTTTTATACTAGAGTTAAGGTTTTACAAACAATTCTGTGAAATATTCTCTCTGCTCCTCTAATGGCTAACATTCATTGAATGCTTGTTATAGTCAAGGCACTGTGCTAAGTGCCTTATAGCATAATATCATTTATAATCCTCCCAACCACCTAGAAGACACTACTTTTATTATCTCCATTTTACAGATGAGAAACCTGACGCTCAGAGAGATGAAGTTAATTGCCAAGGTTACCCAACCAGTAAGTGGGAAAATTGAAAGTTGAGTCCAGATCCATCATACTCAGAGGTTATGTTATCTGTCCCTGTGCTCTGGTGCTGCAGCAGAGATTCAGACTCTTTATGTTAGCTCCCTGAGTAGTAAATTGGGAACCAGCAATGCTCTTCATGATTGGTCTCCATTGTCAATGGGGCACATAAAAATGGATGTTAAGTAGCAGAAGGAAGATAAAATTTCACACAAGCACAGAAGAGACATTTAGCTCATCAAGTGGCTTGACTAAAGGTGGTAAGCAGACCAGCAACGTTAGCATCCCCTGGGGGCTTGTTAGAAATGCAGGCTCTTTGCCCTATCCCTGGGTTCATCAATCAGAATCTAGCTTGATAGTTTACACATACATGAACCAAAGAGCCACAGATGTCTCAACCAGTGTCTTTTAGGACTGTGGAGAGCCTGAAATCTTCAATGAGAGAAGTTCAGGTTTGATGTTTTTTTCTTTCATTGTGAGCTTTCGCTAAATCTAAGACTCCAATAGTTCATTTGATATATAAATTTTGCTGCTTAAAAAAAGCTGAAAACCATGGACCTATATCTGATCATGAAGTTTATCCATGAGGAAGGTGAAGTTCAATGAATGATTTGCCCAAAGCATATTCTTGACATATCTAAAACTAGAACCTAGACCTCAGCTTTCTTGCTTTTTGATTAAAAACACTTGAGCACCATGTTATATAACAATGGGGAAATGAGTTTAGAATCAGGAGACCAAAGTTCTAATCCTGGATCTGTTTAGAATCAGCTGGGTCACCCAAAATAAACAATTTAATTTGTCTGTGATTAAGTTTCTGTGGGTATAGAAATTAGATTGGTGGTATGTATAATCTTTGTTTTTTTTTTCTAACTTTTATATTTGGCGATGTATATGTTGTTACCCAATTCTTATTTTATTTTATTTTTTTTTTTTTTGAGACAGGGTCTTGCTTTGTCACTTGGGCTGGTGTACAGTGGCACAATCCTGGCTCACTGCAGCCTTGAACTTCTGGGCTCCAGTGATCCTCCCACCTCAGCCTCCCATGTAACAGGGACTACAGGTGTGTGCCACCATGCTCAGTTAATTAAAAAAAAAATGCGTAGAGATGAGGTCTCACTATGTTGCCCAGCCCTAAAATATCTTATTTTTAAAATAAGATTAAAACTAATATAAAAATAATGACATGGTAACAATAAGCTAATTATAGCAGAAGGGTCTAATGAAAAATTAAAGATATCCTCTTTCCTGTTTCTACCACTGGCCTGTGCCTCATAAGCAAGCATTAATGGTTTCTGGTTTTCACTTCTCGTGATTACCGTTCAAATAGTATCTTGTCACTCAATTTCTAGGTTTACTACTAGATAATATGGACGTCCTTTATAAAAGATGTAAAATTGATTCCATTTATACTACCAGCAAATCCTTCTCATTTTTTAAGTTATGTCTTATTTTTAGCTTTTCCAGTAGTTACCTTTATGACTTTAAGTAACACATTCTCCTTTTTTTTTTATTCAGTCACTTTAGAATATATCTTTGGTATTTTCCAACTCTCCTACTATTTATCAACTGTGTAATAGTGATAACGGAAGGGGGCAGAGAAGTGCTGAGAAAAGAATTCTTGGGCAGGTCCCTGGCTAGGGCTCCACCCCCAGGTTTGTGCTCACGGGCCTGGGTGAGGACATGCACGCCTATTTTCGTGCCCAAATGTTGCATTTCCCAAGACCACCCTAGCCTGTGATGCCCCCATCCTGTGCTTATAAAAACCCCGAAACCCTAGCAGGCAAACACACAAGTGGCTGGATGTTGAGAGAAACACATCGGCGGAGGAACACGCAAGGGGCTGGCTGTCGAGAGGACATCGGGAGCACACCGACAGACGCTGGCACTGGTGGAACGAGGCGGAGTTTGGCCAGGGCAGTTGGAGGAGAGCCGGGGCTACCCAGTGGCCTAACTCCAGGGGAAAACCATCTCCCTTCTGGCATCCCCATCTGCTGAGATCTACTTCCACTCAATAAAACCTTGCACTCATTCTCCAAGCCCACATGTGATCCGATTCTTTTGGTACACCAAGGCAAGAACCCCGGGATACAGGAAGCCCTCCTCCTTGGGATAAGGCAGGGGTCTAATTGAGCTGACTAATACAAGCTGCCTATGGATGGCTAAACTAAAAGAGCATCCTGTAACACACACCCATTGGGGCTTCAGTTGTAAACATTCACCCCTAGACACTGTCTCACAGTGGTTCAGAGCCCCACAGTCTGCCTGTCCGTATGCTGCCCTAGAGGTAGGAGCAGCAGGGTACTGAAGAAGCGAGCCACACCCCCATTGCATGCCCTGTGAGGGGGACAAGGGAAATTTTCCCGTTTTAATAGCTGTTATTAACTCTGTACATTGTAGGTTTATTCTAAAAATTGAAAAGCTAAAAATAGCATTTATAGTCATATGATGGTATAAATATTGTTCATATATGTGACAGACACTAGGGTGGCCCCCATGTTTATGCTGTCTCCTTGAGTATGAGTGGGACCTTCGATTTCCTTATAACGAATAGAATATGGCAAAGGTGATGGGATGTTACTCCCGTGATAACATTATAGGGGTGTGTATGTGTGTGAGCATGCACACACATGTGTGTGCATGCATACTTGTGTGTGTGCACGCATGCTGTGTGGGCCCTGTCTGACAGCCACCAAGAAAATAGAAACCTCAGTCTTACATCCACAAGAAGATGAATTCTGACAACAAACTGAATGAGCTTGGAAAGTGATTCTTCCCCAGTCCAGCCTCTAGATGAGAATGTGGCTTAGCTAACACCTGGATTGCAGCCTTGTAAGACTCTAAGCAGAGGACCAAGCTAAGCTGTGCCCAAACTCCTGGTCCACAAAACCTGAAATAATAAATGCATGTGGTTTTAAGATGTCATGACTTGCTATATAGTAATATAAAACTAATACAATATAGATCTAAATAAAATTGTTTTATCCATAGAGAAGAAAATATAATTTTATGTCACTAAATTGGTGTCAACAGAGAAGGATCTTTCAAACATTAAGGTGTTTCCTTCTTAGTTAATTACTTTATTTACTTTTAGTAGGACCTCAGATGCAGTGGGTTGAGTTAATCAAACAGCTCAGTTTTTGACAGATTATTGTTCTTAGTCTGTACATAATCTTCCTCTTATTTATTTATTGCTTTCTTCCTCTCTTTTCACTCCCAGTCTCTCCCTACATTGGGTAACCATTGCATTGTGTTCAATGTGCAGCCATTTGTTTACATGTGTTCAATATACATTCACCCAAAACTTATGTTTTCTCCCATTCTGTGGGCTGTCTCTACACTTTGTTAATTGTATCTTTTGCTGTGCAGAAGCCTTTTTAACACATAGAGAGTAGAAGAATGGTTATCAGAGGCTGAGAAGGGTAGTGAGGGACTGGGAGGAAGGTGGGGATGGTTAATAGGTACAAATAACTAGAAAAAATCATGACCTACTATGTGATAGCAAAATAGGGTGACTATAATACTTGTACATTTTAAAATAAAGAGTATATTTGGATTGTTGCAACTCAATAGATAAATGCTTGAGGGGATGGGTACCCCATTCTTCATAATGTGCCTATTTCACATTGCATGCCTGTATCAAAACATCTCATGTACCCCAAAACATATACACCTACTATGTACTCACAAAATTAAAAGAATATACATTCACCCCAAACAATTTTTTATATTTTATAGCTTCATAATGCATTGAGTTATATATCTCATTTTCTCTTACTTTTTTTCTTGCAGCACTGTGTATTTAAGTTCCACCATATTGTTATGTGTGCATCAAGTCCCAGATTTCAAAAATCCATATAGTAGTACTCCATGATAAGCATTTAATTTACTGTCTTACAAAGGGACATCCAGAGCTTCTTCAAATTCCTAACCTTATAAAAATGGTATTTATTAGATTTTATTCTTCCACAAAAATAATTATTGATTGAATATTGAACTGGAATTTTGATTTAAATTATGATGAATTTAGAGATTAATATGGGAAAACCAGTATTTTTATACTATTAGGATGTGCCTTCTAAAGCATGGAAATACTCTTCATTTATTTATATAATCTTTTATTTATCAGAATTTTCAAGTGTTCCTCATGCAAGGCTTATATATTTTGTGTGTGAGAATACCCAGATTATCTTCCCTCCTTTTGTCCCTCCCTCCCTTCCTTCCTCTATCCTTCATTTTTTCCCTTCTTTCATGTAGTCTCTCAGTTTTTGTTTGTCTGGGAAAAGCTTTCTCTCTCCTTCATATTTGAACAGATCAGTATCTTTTCAAATTATTATTATTGAACCTACTATTGTTGTTGTGCAGTCTATGACTTCCTTTAGCTTTATTAATGTTTGCCTTATATACTTGGGAGCTGCAGTGTTGGGTGCATAGATATCCTAAAATTTTCATAACTTCTTGCTGTATTGATCCGTTTATTATTATATAGTGACCTTCTTTGTCTCTTTTACAACCATAGATTTGTAGTCTATTTAATCTTATATAAATATGGTTCTTCCTTCTCCTTTTTGGTTTCCAATTGAATAAATTATCTTTTTTCAACTCTTGCCTTTCAGTTTATGTGTATGTTTATAGGAGAAGTGGTTTTCTTGAAGGCAGCATATAGTTGGGTCTTGTTTTTTATCCATTCTATCGGGGGAATCCGTCCCCGATATTTCAATGTAGGTTCTTTCTGTTTTCCATAAGTGTCGGCCAGTTGAGAAATAAAGAGAAAGAGTACAAAGAGAGGAATTTTACAGCTGGGCTGCTGGGGGTGACATCACATATTGGTAGGACCATGATGCCCACCTGAGCCTCAAAACCAGCAAGTTTTTATTAAGGATTTCAAAAGGAGAGGGGGTGTACGCACAGGGAGTAGGTACAAAGATCACATGCTTCAAAGGGCAAAAAGCAGAACTATTAATAAGGGTCTAACAAAGATCACAAGGCGAAGGGCAAAAGCAGAACTACTGGTAAGGGTCCAACAAAGATCACAAGGCAAAGGGCAAAAGCAGAACTACTAATAAGGGTCTAACAAAGATCACAAGGCAAAGGGCAAAAGCAGAACTACTAATAGGGGTCTATGTTCAGCAGTGCACGTATTGTCTTGATAATATTGTCTTGATAAACATCTTAAACAACAGAAAACAGGGTTTGAGAGCAGAGAACTGGTCTGACCACTAATTTACCAGGGCAGGGTTTTTCCCCACCCTAGTAAGCCCGAGGATACTGCAGGAGACCAAGGCGTATCTCAGTCCTTATCTCAGCTGCATAAGACAGACATTCCCAGAGCGGCCATTTATAGACCTCCCCCCAGGAATGCATTCCTTTCCCAGAGTATTAATATTAATATTCCTTGCTAGGAAAAGAATTTAGTGATATCTTTCCTACTTGCATGTCCATTTATAGGCTCTCTGCAAGAAGAAAAATATGGCTCTTTTTGCCCTACCCCGCAGGCAGTCAGACCTCATGGTTGTCTTCCCTTATTCCCTAAAAATCTCTGTTATTCTGTTCTTTTTCAAGGTGCACTGATTTCATATTGTTCAAACACACATGTTTTACAATCAATTTTTACAGTTAACACAATTATCACAGTGGTCCTGAGGTGACGTACATCCTCAGCTTATGAAGATAATAGGATTAAGAGATTAAAGTAAGACAGGCATAAGAAATTATAAAAGTATTATTGGGGAACTGATAAACGACCATATTCAAATGAAATCTTCACAATTTATGTTCCTCTGCCGCGGCTCCAGCTGGTCCTTCCATTCAGGGTCCCTGACTTCCTGCAATGCCGTTCAGCTACTTTCAGCCTTTTAATTGAAAAAAATGAGACCATTTACATTCAATGTTATTGTTTTGTAAGGACTCACTACTGCCATTTCATTGCCTGTTTTCTAGTTGTTTTGAGAATCCTCTCTATCTTCTTACTGTCTTCCTTTGTGGTTAGTGATTTTCTCTGGTAGTGTGTTTTAATTTGTTGCTATTTATTTTTAATGAACGTATTAAAGGTTTTTGTGTTGTGGTTACCCATGAGGCTTATAAAAATATCTTATAGGGATAAAACATTATTTTAAAGAGATGACAACTTATCTTAGAACCCAAACAAAGGAAAAGAAACAAAGACCAAAAACACACAAAAATTCTATACTTTAACTTCACTCCCCCCGTTTTGACTTAGTTGTGTCAGTGTACATATTTTTACATTACCTATGTCTTAACTGGTTGCTGTAGTTATTGTTCTTGACAGGTTTGTCTTTTGAATTTCATACTAGGGTTATGAATGAATTGTACTCCATGATTACAGTAATAGAGTATTCTGGGTTTGTCCATGTACTTAATTTTACCAGTGGGTTTTATACATTGAAAAGTTCTCTTTTTTCATGTTAGTGTTTTCTTCTTTCAGATGGAAGAATTCCATCTGGCATTTCTTGTAAGATGGGTCCGGTGGTGGTGAATTATCTCAGCTTTTGCTTGGGAAAATCATTATCTTTTCTTCATATTTAAAGAATTTTTTTCTGTATACAGTATTCTTGGGTGAAAGTCCAATACTCTCACCATCTGCTCTGAGTATTTTACTACTCTGTGGCCCCAGGATCTGTCTCACCCTCATATTTGAGTTCTGGATTGTTGCTGCTGAAAACCTTAGTGCTGTGCATTTGTTTTAGGTTTTCAGCTGGAGAGAGTAGAGCCACCTTGCTTCCATACTGTCATTTAAAAATCGAAACTATCATTATAGTTTTAATTTGCATTTCCCTAATTACTTAATTATATTATCTTTTTATATACAAATGGATCATTTATCATTCATGTATATTATTTGGATAAATGTTTGCTTAAATATCTTGCATGTTTGAGTTTTGTTGTTTTATTGAGTAGTTTTGTGAGTTTTAAATAACATGCTGATATAGGTATTTCTTCAGATATTTTATTTTAAGATATTTTCTCTCAGTCTATAACTTTAATTCTCTTCCAAGAGTTGTTCAAAGAGCAGAGGGTTTTAATTTTAACAAAATCCAGTTTATTCATCTGTTCTTTTATACATCATGCTTTTGGTGTATCTAAGAAATCATTACCTAATTCAGCATCATGAACATTTTCTCCTTTACTTTCTTCTAGAAGTTTTATAGGTTTGGACTTTGCATTTAGGCCTATGATTTATTTGGAATTAATTTTTATTTACATTGGTAGGTGTAGATGGAAGTTTATCATTTTGTATATGGATTCTGAATAGTTCCAGTACTATTTGTTGAAAGACTATCCTCTTTTTTTACTGTAATGGTTTGCATTTTTTTTTTTTTGAAAATCAACCGATCACATATACATGGGCCCATTTTTGGACCCTTTACTCAGTCTGATTTATCTATTTCTCTGTTTTTATGTCAATACCACATTTTGGATTAATGTAGCTTTAATGTTAAGTCTGGAACTTAGGTAATATAAATCTTCCAACTGTGTGCTTTTTCAAAGTTACTCTGGCTATTCTATGTCCTCCGCATTTTGCATGAATTTTAGAATCAGTATGCCAAATTCTAAAAGAAAGACTTCCAGAATTTTAATGGAATGGCATTTAATATATAGGTCAATTTATAATAAGTGACGTTGTAACAAGATTGAGAGTTTCAATCCATGAACACAGTATAGCTTTCATTTTTGTAGGTCTTTATTTCTTTCAATAGTGTTTTATAATTTCTATTGTATAGCCCTTATATACCTTTTGTCCAGTCTTTCTCTAAGTATTTTATTTTTTCTGATGCTATTTCAAAATATTCAGTTTCTAATTGTTAATTACTAATGCACAAGAAATATGATTGACTTATATGTACTGACATTGAATCCCATACATTGCTAAACTCACGCCTTAGTTCTAGGCATTTTCTTGTAGACTCTGTAAGATTTTCTTTGTACACTGTCATGTTGTATGTAAATAAAGACAGTTTAACTTCTTGTTTTCCAATCTAGCTACCATTTTTTTTTCTGTTTCTTGCCTAATTTCACTCTCTAGAACCTCCAGTACAATGTTGAATAAAAGTGGTAAGAGAATGGATGTCCTTGCCTTGTTTCTAATCTCAGGTTGCATGTAGGGGGAGTGCTTGCTGCCACAGTCATGTCTTTCCCAATTTCTCCTATCCATGGCTAATGATCAGGCCTGAACACAATGAAGTATTTATAAATAAAATTCCCCCTTTTTTTCCCAGCAGTATTAATAAAGTTTTAGGTTTAGCTCAAGTAAAATTACTACATGCACTGTATTGCTAGATATAATTATATATAAATATATATAATACACACATTTTAATTGGGAATTGGAACTTTTTTTTCCATGAGGTATAGCAAACCTTTAAGTTCAAATCTTTACTATGTATATATAATCTATATATATGATGTATAAAAAGATTAAAATTTAAACAACATATATATATATATACACATATATACTTTTTTTTTTTTTTGAAACAGAGTTTTGCTCTTGTTGCCCAGGCTGGAGTGCAATGGTGTGATCTCTGCTCACTGCAACCTTCGCCTCCCGGAGTCAAGCGATTCTGGTGCCTCAGCCTCCCGAATAGTGGAATTTTTTATTTTTATTTTTTGGTAGAGACAGGGTTTCACCATGTTGGCCTGGCTGGTCTCGAACTCCTAACCTCAGGTGATCCACCTGCCTTGGCCTTCCATCGTGCTGGGATTACAGGCATGAGCCACTGTACCTAGCTAAAAACATCTTAACTGGTTACCACAATCTCAGCACTGGATGGATCCTTTGGTTATCATGCTAGGTAAAGCAGAGATTCTGTAAGGTGCAGAACCCCCTAGGCACACTAGAAAGATAGATGATACTTTGTTGTCTTGGAGGAGTTTTGGCTTCATTTTACTCTAATCTAGGTTTCTCTACTTCAAATAATAAGTTTTCCAAGTGACAGGAAAGGAACTCTCACCCCTGTCTGCGGTGAAGATGAGTAAGGGAATGTAATCAATAAAGTCATTAAGTAGAGGTTTCAGGGGCCAGATCAGGTCCTTTTGTCCATCTGAGTCCTGGAATCTGGCCTGACATTGTGGCTTTAGTGTAGGGTCAGACAGAAGGCTTAATAAATGTCCTTGCCTTTAGTAAACTTTTATTTTTAAAACATTGCTTTAATAATATATCTGGGTAATGATTACCAATGGATACCAAAACAATTAGGTGAAAGGTTGAAGGGGGAGCTTTTTTATGGTAGGATCAGCCAGTATCTCCATGCACCCACAGTTAAATGAATCCTGGGAACAGAGACCTGGACCAAATCATGTCTTTGCCATTAAGAACTTTATAAACTTGGGAGGAGGTGGAGGTGGATGTAGTTTGGGAAGACATGTAATTAGATATGTGCAGTAAATTATAATTGGCATTATGAATAAAACTGTATGTGGTATATAAGAGTGAAGGGAAAAGGAGAGGATAACCAGATATCCTAGTGAGGACAAGATAACTCAGAGAGCTGGTGGGATGTCTGGGTTGAATATTGAGAAGCATGCAGAGCCCCGCAGGCAGCCAAGCATAATCTTGATTGCACACTCTGATGACACACTGTATTTTTCTTCTGTAGCACTAACAGATTGTAATATTTTATATTTGTAAAAAAATTTTGCTTATTATTGTTTTTCCTACTTGAGAATATAAACACTTGTGGGGCTCTTGTTCGCCATTGTATAAAGAGAGTCCTGCGGCTTTTCCCCCACTATAGCCTTTCAGCTTTTAAACCATTTTATTATGTAAAATTTCAAAGATACACAAAAGTAGAGAATGTTGTTTAATAAACCTTCATATACCTCTCAGCAACCTCAATAATTACCATTGTTTTGTCAATCTTATTTCAACTATCATCTAGTCCCTTATTGTTTTTTTTTTTTGCTTAAGTATTTTAAAACAAATTCCATGTCATTTCACTTAATAGGAATCTCTAATTGAAAAGTATGTTTTTTACGTAAATGCCATCTTCCAGTCCACATTCAAATTTCTCAAATTGTCTCAAATATGTCTTTTTATAGTGTTTTGTTGGAATTAGGACCAAAACAAGGTCCACCAGTTATGCTTGGTTGTTATGTCTCTTCAGTATATTTTATTCTATAATTATCTACCTAACCTTATGTTTTTAAAAAAAAATTCCACTAATATATCCTGGAGAATGCCCTGCATTCTGGATTTGGCTAAGTGCTTCTTTGGGGTGTCATTTAACTGTTTCTTCTATTCTATATGCCTCTTATAAACTACTTGTTATATTGAGGAGTTCGAGTAGATGAAGGTTCTACTCTTTTCCTAATACTATTTTGTAAATGAGGTAGGTATTTCCTACTGTATCATATGCGCATCATGAAGCACATAATTATCCCTATTATCCCATCTTTAATGTCCCACCATAGTTAGGAGAAACTTCACTGAAGAAGTAGTATTTGAACAGGGTCTTGAAAAACCCTTGCCAGTTGGTTAATGACAGTGGTACAGAGGGAAGAGCAGGCACAGAGGCAAATAATCATACATACCAGGGGATGATGTGAAAACTAGCAAGTTTTTTCTTTTTATCAAATTTAGAATAGATAATGCACTTTGAAAATTGCATTTAAATCCAATTTTATTCACCATTACTTTTAGGATAATTACTTTTGAGACTGGAACATTTTATACTCTGGCTAAAGATAGGTTTTGCTATTTAAGTCACTCTTACTAATCAAGTTTTTTTTTTCTTTTTTCTGCCCTACTGAAGAAAGTTTACTGTTTTTATCTTGAGATATACTGTGGCCTGCAGTAAGAATGTCAAATCTGGAAAGAGTCCTTTTAGTTTAATAACATTGCTTGATCGCATTGTGGCATATAAATAAATAAATGGAATTTGCTAAAATTTTATTCAATTAAATCACAGGCTTTGTTTCATGAAATACTTGACTCTGTGGGTCAAGGGCTATTTTATTGAATGCAGAACACTGTAAAATTCATCAGGTACATCCTAGAATAATGTTATATCTATTTTATTGAATGATTTAAATTGACATTTGGTTAATAGGAAACAATAGGACCTGATTAAAAAAAATGTAATGATGGCAGGAATAGGAAAGACTATCACTCAATCAGTGTTTTCCAGGGATGCATAGAGTTTAGTTATATAGATAAAGTACACCTTGGAAAGCTGGGGATTGATTATAGGAAGTAGGATCATTTTATATAGAGGATGTAGGTAGAGCCCCATGAGAAGGGTCTTCTTTCTGGGATATCTCCTCATAATCTTTTTTGCTAATGACTGAGATTTTACCATTAATAAATAATTGTTCATTACTAGAATGGAGCAACTTTAGGTCTGGTTTTATAATAAGCTTTACTAGCTTTAGCACCTTGATGTGTATTAGGTCTGATAGGGTAGTCTGTCCTTGAGAGAATAAGTAGGTGTCAGTAGAGCAATGACATTGAGCAGGTCAAGATGAAGTAAAAGGGAACTTCCAAGGGAGATTAGGCTCATGAGTGGGCATACGACTGGAGGAGTTGTGCTGTGAAGTCACTGGCTTGGGTTAGGGTCTGCTAATCTTATAACAACAGCAAGGTCACAGCTGGGTGTGTGCGTGTGTGTGTGTATATATATGTGTGTGTATATATGTGTATATATGTATATATGTGTGTATATATATATGTTTGTATATATATATATATACACACACATACAGTTTTATGGTTATGATACTTAGTTAATGAAATTGGCTAAAGGTGAGTGTTGACAGGATGCATCTGATATAACTATTTGGTTGATAATTTGTCATATAGAGGAAGTCTGTGGTTAACATAATCTATTAATGCATTAATACATGCATGGTTTGTATGGAGTATTCCCTTGTAAGTCAAAATATCATACGGATTATTTCTGCAAGGTGGTGAAACTTCCCCCCGCCCCCAGGGTGGTATATGAGCCCAAAGGTTCTGTTGGTGGGTAGAAATAAAAGGGCTTTGTTTATAGCAGTATTTTGTCAAAATGGAGAGATGGAGCCATAAACAGGGGAATAGCCAAGTCAGAAATAGGATTAACAGGATTGTGTGTCAAACCAAGGTGTCAGCCAGTTCAGGAGTCAGCTGAAAAGGACTTGCATTTGTATGCCCTTGCGTGTGCTAACTGGCATGTGCTCTTGCAGTGGGCACACTTGTGCTAAGGGGTCATCATGGGGCGTGTCCAGTAATGTGAGCAGTGCTTTTTCATGCTTGCATCCAGGAGATTCCCATGCTGGTGTGTTAAATAGTAAACTTCATGTGAATGTCACCTGAAGAAAACAGAAATTTACAAGGTCACGTAAATGCTCAATTTAAAGTGTAACTGTGTTTTAAGTAATGACTTAGTCTGTGTTCTGTTCTGAATTGGTGTTTGGGGACATGAAAACATCCCAAACAAATAGCCACTGAATACATTTTGTGGTAGATGAGGAAGATTTATCTCTACATGTTGGGATTTGAGCCAGTATTTTTTTAAATTATAAACATAAAATGTGACTAGAATACATTCCCGAGCTATTCCACAATCAAATGGGTGCAATGAGTTTGTGAGCTGTGCAAGTAAATAAAGTAAATGTGATTCTGAATGTACATATCTCTGATATAGGGGTCAAACTGAGCTGCTCATAAAGCAAACAGGGAAAGAAGAGTGAGGCATGAATGTACTAGTGGGGCATGAATGTCCTAGCCTCTAATGGTATCATTTCAGAAGCTAATATAATATTTCAAGAAAGAGTTTTAAGTTTCAGCAGTGACTAAAATATAAAGTTTACAAAGCAACCTTTCACTTAGCACAAGGAAGTGCTATGAGATTCCTTTCATTAGGAGTCTCATAAAAGTCAAAAGGCAAAGACAGTAGATAAAAGACAAGGGACCTCTCAAACCATGCTGCTTCTCTGCTGTTCCATATGTGGCAATCACTGACACATAACTTCCTCTGTGTGATAACTTCCTGACATTTCTATATCATGCTTAGTTGTGCTTCCCTCTCACTAAATAGCTGCACAGTCATTTATTCATTCAGTAAACATCTATCATCAGCCTTCTATATGCCACATACTGTGCCATGGGCTGAGGATAAAGATATAAAGAAGACACAGGCTTTGTTCTCCAGGAGTTCACAGCTTAGGAAGCTGGTTTATAGCAGTCTTTAGAAGGGCTACTGCTTGATGTTGCCTATTTCAGATAAAAATAGAAAATATGCTATTCCTTCCTCTCTTTTTCTCTCCTGTCTCCCTATGATGCCAAACTTCCAATCAGCAACAGTTACATTTCTAAGCTTCTATCACAGACTATTTCTATTTTTATTCTGGCCAAGGCAACCACCCTACTCAGATCCTCTCTTCTTTCTTCCTTTGCCCTCCTAATCATTATCTCCTAAAGATAAAATTGTTTTCTTTACTGAAGCAAGTAGACCACTGATTTCAAAGTTACTTTTTTCTTCCTACCCTTCAAACACATTTTAAATATAAAAACTACATTTTATAAAAAAGCACATGATTTTCTAAATACTTTATAAACCATATTCACCAATTATATAGATCAGAGGGACCTGATTTTCTGAAAAAGATGTGTGGGCTTGTGTACTTTTACTTGATTAAAGCTGAGGAGTCACCTTTTCGTAAAACTGATCACATTTAGAACAGTTTTGAAAGTTTTTACTATGGCTGCCTCAAACAAATGAAATGAATCCACAAAAAAGTAATTCACATTCTTAGAGATTTGGTGACTTTCTGAAAGGCCATTGGGTCAAACCTGAAAAGGAGAGCACATACCATAGTCCACCCAACTTTCCCCAGAAGAAAACAAGGTGGATGAGCTACTTCCCAAAGTGGTAGACATCTGTTCACTAAGTCTTAAGTCTACAATTTGTAATTGGTAAGAATCACCACCTCTGTGCTGAGATTTCAAGTGATGCTCTCTGAATTGTGTGTTTCCTTTTGTCGTGTTTGAATCTGCTTCATGAAAGCACTTTTTAGCTTTCTGCTACATTTTAGGAAAACAACTTTTAAAAATCCAACAGAAAATGTATTTTAAAAAGCAGGAGAGCCTACTATTTTCCTTCTTTTGAGAGCCTGCATTCTGGTGAATTCTTCATTTACTCTGCTTGGTTGTAATGACTTATGACAAGATCCTGTTGTTTGAACACCCGGTCCTCAAGTGCAGACTGAATATCTACAATGACCCCCTTTAGGGTCTAGCAAGTCTCCCTGGGCCCTTTCAACATTCTATTAATGAAGATATAATTCATTTTCACTATATCACTACCATTGTGTTTAGTTAGTAAATACATCTGAAAGCTTCCATTTAACAAATTGAAACAAAACCTCCTAGATTTTTCTTGTAAATTAGTTATTTATAATTTGATAGTCTTTCAGTCTTTTCTGCTAATGGATCAACTTTCTTCTTTTGATGGTGTAACTTTTTCTCTACTCAGTCATCTAGAGGTCGTGGATCAGTATTTCAACAACTATCACTGCTTTTTATATTTTATCCTCCAAAAAGATGTCTCACGTGCTCATTTTCAACAGAGGAGGAATTAAAAAAAATTCAGTATTCTATTCTTATGTGTACTCATACTCTGCAATTTTAAGAACACATTTCTCTTTCAAAACTTGGAATTATAGATAGATATTTAAAAATATATTTATCATAACAATGTGCTATCAAACCTTTTTTAAAGTGCACAAATATTTCAAGCTTAAACAATGTGTTGCCAAATTAAAAGTTATAAAAAGATGCTTGGTAAAGTAAGCTAGAAGAAAAACACTTTCAAGTACACTTAGACAAAAATTTTAATAGAATGCATATCAGAGAATTATGAAGAACAAATAACATTTGAGACACACTAACTTTTTATTTTATTGAAAGTATAAATTGAGGCTATTTATCAATTGAAATAGAATCCTTAGATAATGCTATACCCCTTTTTGTGGTAAACTCAGGGAAAGGAGCACATAGAATGTAATCTTGAATTTTGGAGTACTTTTGGAGGAGTGACTCAAAATATTTATGTCTTAGCCAGGGCTCTCCAGAAAACATAGCCCGAGGCAGAACTTTCCATGATAATACTTCACTGGGAAGCATAATCCCAGGATGGCAATAGCGAGGGAAAAAGGATGGGGAGGCAGAGAAGGAGGGACAGCAAATACGAAGTGGCTCATTACCAAACTGGCATGACTTCATGAAAAAACACAGCCAGCTTGATCATGTGGATGAGAAAAGCCATACAAAATCACGGCACTTTGGCACAGTCTAGCAGAGGGAGGAGAAGAGGGGAATCTGTTAGCTTCTCACTGTCCTCTCCGACACTTCTGGATTTTGTCACCTGACCCCTTTGGACAGTCCGTGGAGAAGCCAGATCCTACATCCCTTGGTATGGCACTTCATCTGAGTATGGAAGAGTGGGAGAAGCCAGAATCCTGAGTTGGGCTTGGAGTCTGGAACTGTGGCAGCTCCTTCCTCAGTGGGTATAATAGCGGCTGGCACAGCCTACCCAAATGCTGAGAGGTGGCAGAGACAGCTGGTAGTGTTAGAAGGTAAGGCAACAAGTTTCCCCTAACAGCCAAGGGATCAGAAGGCAGGTGAGTCTGTGCAAATCTGGGAAACGCATAAATTGCGTCTTGTATAATCCTCTCCTTGCAGCATTCAGATTAGCTCATACCCTCTTGTGATAGTTTAGAGTGGGGCCTCCATCTTTGTAAGAATGAGGTATTCTCATTTCACCCTCAAAAGGGAGGTATAAATCCATCCAATCATAAATCATCTTTTAAGATGGTGGCCTATTGCAATCTTTGAAAAACAATAATCTCTAAGTCAGACTACAGTGCCCTCTGTTGTTGCTTATCTTGCTGCTATAATTGATACTCAACATCTTTCTCAAGGGTTTTTTAAAGGTCTGACTTCTTAATTGCATTTCCTTTGTTAGGATATGTTTACTGCTTGCCCACTGACAATTGTACTGGGCATGAAACTATTAAGAGAACAAAGTGAATTCCCTAGGTTTCAGACACTCTCCTCCTTGCCCCATTGTGTTACAATCCTAGCTTGCTATTGTAATTAGGGTTGATTAGCTCATAAAGTGCTATAACTCTTTTTTTTTCTGCCCTGCTTGTCCACTGACATGAAGAGTTCAGTGTGGTCGGGTGGTTTTCACAGCTTACAAATCAGTGGACACAATATGTCCTCTGGGAGAAGTAGTAACCACCCCATTCGTGGGCCCAGAATTTTTAACCTCCAGATCTTAGTTTTTTAGCATGTGAAAGCATACATTTTTGTAAGTGGGTCACTGGGAATGGTGGTGCAGAGTATCACCTAATTCCCAAGCATTCCAACTATTGAGAAGATAGTACCATGTATTGGTCCTTGTTTAAATGTAGGTACTGCATCCTGAAAGACAGTGCTGCAATCCTGAGATGGGTTTGCCCCAAGCTAGGGCTCTAGTTGAGCTTTTAAGAGACTATCTCACTTTTATCAGGCAGTACTTCTAGCAATGCTCTCATAGTCATGAACCCATTGTCTTACACACACACACACACACACACACACACACACAGACACAAACACACACACATATATATTTTAAATCCTGTGGTCTGAAGAGATGTTGTGGGGATGTCATGTTGAAGAATCAGGGATTCTGTGAACCAATTGGATGTTAGTGCTGGTGGGGGCTGGATTCCATGTGCCACACAAAGACGTTTCAACTGAGTCCAGAAATGGTTAGAGTAGGACAAGCTTCTTTGGTTCCAACTCGGTAGAGTGTGAGAGTTGGCGATGCTGTAGCTCTTGCTGCACTGGGCACGTGGAGGACTAGCCAGAGCCTGCTCCTTTTTTTGGGGAGACTGAAACACTGACAATGCTCAGAAGTTAGGCAATGGTGGTAGGGGTTGAAGCTCTACATTGAGCACATGGCAGAAGATCTAGGAGGACGGTAGAGCCAAGCAAATTTCTGGGGTTGGAGGACACAGAAATTGCATTTGATACACATTCTAAAAACATTTTCACTAATTATAATCCTATATAACTGTGCGAAGTGGGCAAGAGTCAAGTAGATACATGTCTTTGGTTGCAGACTCCTCAGCAGAAGCAGCATGCAATCTAAGTAACATTGATAGCAGGTTGCAGAGCCAAATTCTTTCACCTCCTCATTCCTATTCCCCGAGAATGGTAGTGTGGTTTGGTGGTACCCTGGGAAGCACGTAAGTTTAGGTATTAGGAAATCTGGTTCTAGTCTAAAACCTATCACGAGCTAGCCATGTGACCTTGCATACCTCTCTTCAGCCCTTCTGGCTTTAGAGTCTTGACCTAATATGATGAATAGCTAGGTTATTTCAGTTCCAAATCTTATGAGCTGTCACTAGAATCATATTGTATTGGCAAGAAATGCCCCCTTTAGGCTTACTACTGGCTTCAGGCTGGTTTCTACGTATTGAAAGAACTGATGCAAGGTGAAGAAGGCACTTTGTGGTGGAATGTCAATTGAGCCTTACAAGTTGAAAGATGGAAACACATTAAGGGCAGACAGAGGTAAATAAAAAAAATAGATCTTATGGAATGAATACTATTAAGACTCTGCTACATGAAGCTGATAAATAAGAACATATTAAAACAGCAATATTTAAAAGAAACAAAAAGTGAGGCTCAACCTAGTATCTTTTCAATACCACTTATTCTTGCTGTCTTTCAATTAACTGTGATAAAGCAATAATTCTGGAACTTCCTTTCTTACGAGCTGGAATATTCAGGGGTCAGTTGCAGTGGGCACCTCTGCCATTGTTTGGCAGCTGAGTACCTTAGCCTAGAATCCTTGTAGCCTTTCTCCCTCAACTGCTACCTCATTATGAAGGAAGCTGTCACTTCAACCCTCAGGTTCTGTTCTTTGAAACAGCCACTGAGGGAACAGAATAGGTTTAGTTCATTGCTCATTACATATTTATGTTGAGGGGAGTCTTTAAATTATCTTTTAGCTTGTCATTATCATTTAATATTTCCTACTTCCAAGTTAAGTCAGGTTAGAAAGATGGAGAAAAATCATGCAGGGGCTCTCTCGTCTCTTTCTTTTGCTAAAATTCCTTGAGTTCATCTTCCAAGCAGACAGAGATACAGGAATGATAAAATAACGGCCTAAAGTTGTTACAGTCATTCTCTCCTTGGTTGGTTTTCGCTGTTTAAGCTTCCAGGCTGCCCAGTTTTTAGTGAAAGAGATTCCTTAACATTAAGCCAGATTGTTGCTAAACCATGAAATTTTTTGATTTTTAATAGTTTATACCCATTCTCACAACTCTCAGCAGTTTTGCACCTCTGATCCACTGAATTTTTAACATCTAAGTATGCATATTTTCATGTTCCTTCTCTTTCTCTGATTGTTCCTTTTAAATTGAAACATATTCCTGATTTCTGGGTGTAACTTACTCTAGGAAATATATATGTGTATATATTTGTAATATATATGTATAATTGTATGTACATGTGTATAATATAGATGTATAACTATTAGACTATTTACATATATAAATAAGATACATCTCTTATTTAATTGAACTGTCTTTGTATCTAACAGGGTTTTGAGTCTTCATGGTGAACACTGTGGTGTGATACCTAGATCTCTCTCAAGGAAGAGCAAGACATTCTAATTGTGAGAATATTGTCGACATTTAAATTATAGGGATATTATTCTCTAAGATATATTCATGGTAAATATTGTTCCTTAGAGCCCCCTGAATCAGTCTTCCTCTTAGTGATTTTATAATTTTTAAAAAAATTCATTTACAGAATTCTAGTACCTCTATGTCTACTACTACCGGCTAGCATTTATTAAGCACTTGTCATGTGCTAGAATCTGTTCAAAGTACTTTATATACATCAACCAACTTAAGATCCACAACCACACTATTGGGTAGGTATCATCAGTATCTCCAGTTTTGTGTATGAGGAAACTAGGGCTTAGCCACATTAGGAAACTTTTCCAAGGTCACAGAGTCAAACATAGTGAGGGCTGGAAATGGATCCTAGAAGATGTGATTCCAAGTACACATTTTTAACCATATCACATTATTCCTCTTAATACTAGGGGATGGAATTATATTCCAAAAAAAGTTTTGTAGGTTTTTTTGGGTGGCAGAGGGATGAGAGTTGTATACTATAGTCATGTATACTATAGTTGTATACTGCAGTCATGTGGATACATTCTTAGAAATGTGCTGTTAGACAGTTACCTTGTGATGCAAAAATCATGGAGCGTACTTACACAAACCTAGATGGTATCGCCTACTACACCATAAGCCATCTGGTATAGCCTATTGCTCCTTGGCTACAAATCTGTGTAGAATGTTACTGTACTGAATATTGTAGGCGATTATAACACAATGGTAAGTATTTGTGTGTCTAAATATATGAAGATAAAAGATGGAAACTTGGATAGGGCCCTTATGAATGGAGTTTGCAGGAAAACTGTAAGTTGCTATGGGTAAGTCAGTGAGTGAGTAGTAAGTAAATGAGAAGACCTAGGACATTACTATATACTAAGGTAGACTTTTTTGTTTTTTGAGATGGAGTCTCGCTCTGTTGCCCAGGCGGGAGTGCAGTGGCGTGATCTTGACTCACTGAAACCTCTGCCTCCCGGGTTCAAGCAATTCTCCAGCCTCAGCCTCCCAAGTAGCTGGGATTATAGGTGCCTGCCACCATGCTCAGCTAATTTTTGTATTTTTAGTAGACACAGAGTTTCACCATACTGGTCAGACTGGTCTCGAACTCCTGATCTCAGGTGATCCACGCACCTTGGCCTCCCAAAGTGCTGGGATTACAGGCATGAGCCACCACACCTAGCCACTAATGCAGACTTTATAAACACTGTGTGCTTAGGCTATACTACATTTATATATATTTTTTCTTTTTTCAATAATAAACTTAACTTACTGTAACTTTTCTGCTTTGTGAAATTTTATCTTTTTAACTTTTTGACTCTTCTAATTATACTTAGCTTAAAACATGAACATATTGTAAAGCTTGGACAAAAATATATATGTATTTGTTATTATTATTATACTTTAAGTTTTAGGGTACATGTGCACAATGTTCAGGTTTGTTACATATGTATACATGTGCCATGCTGGTGTGCTGCACCCATTAACTTGTCATTTAGCATTAGGTATATCTCCTAATGCTATCCCTCCCCCCTCCCCCCACCCCACAACAGTCCCCAAAGTGTGATGTTCCCCTTCCTGTGTCCATGTGTTCTCATTGTTCAGTTCCCATCTATGCTATCCCTCCCCCCTCCCCCCACCCCACAACAGTCCCCAGAGTGTGATGTTCCCCTTCCTGTGTCCATGTGTTCTCATTGTTCAGTTCCCATCTATGAGTGAGAACATGCGGTGTTTGGTTTTTTGTCCTTGCAATAGTTTACTGAGAATGATGATTTCCAATTTCATCATGTCAAAGGACATGAACTCATCATTTTTTATGGCTGCATAGTATTCCATGGTGTATATGTGCCACATTTTCTTAATCCAGTCTATCATTGTTGGACATTTGAGTTGGTTCCCAGTCTTTGCTATTGTGAATAGTGCTTCAATAAACATACGTGTGCATGTGTCTTTATAGCAGCATGATTTATAGTCCTTTGGGTATATACCCAGTAATGAGATGGCTGGGTCAAATGGTATTTCTAGCTCTAGATCCCTGAGGAATCGCCACACTGACTTCCACAATGGTTGAACTAGTTTACAGTCCCACCAACAGTGTAAAAGTGTTCCTATTTCTCCACATCCTCTCCAGCTCCTGTTGTTTCCTGACTTTTTAATGATTGCCATTCTAACTGGTGTGAGATGGTATCTCATTGTGGTTTTGATTTGCATTTCTCTGATGGCCAGTGATGATGAGCATTTTTTCATGTGTCTTTTGGCTGCATAAATGTCTTCTTTTGAGAAGTGTCTGTTCATATCCTTCGCCCACTTTTTGATGGGGTTGTTTGTTTTTTTCTTGTAAATTTGTTTGAGTTCATTGTAGATTCTGGATATTAGCCCTTTGTCAGATGAGTAGGTTGTGAAAATTTTATCCCATTTTGTAGGTTGCCTGTTCACTCTGACGGTAGTTTCTTTTGCTGTGCAGAAGCTCTTTAGTTCAATTAGATCCCATTTGTCAATTCTGGCTTTTGTTGCCATTGCTTTTGGTGTTTTAGACATGAAGTCCTTGCCAATGCCTGTGTCCTGAATGGTAATGCCTAGGTTTTCTTCTAGGGTTTTTATGGTTTTAGGTCTAACATTTAAGTCTTTAATCCATCTTGAATTAATTTTTGTATAAGGTGTAACGAAGGGATCCAGTTTCAGCTTTCTACATATGGCTAGCCAGTTTTCCCAGCACCATTTATTAAATAGGGAATCCTTTCCCCATTGCTTGTTTTTCTCAGGTTTGTCAAAGATCAGATAGTTGTAGATATGTGGCATTATTTCTGTGGGCTCTGTTCTGTTCCATTGATCTATATGTCTGTTTTGGTACCAGTACCATGCTGTTTTGGTTACTGTAGCCTTGTAGTATAGTTTGAAGTCAGGTAGCGTGATGCCTCCAGCTTTGTTCTTTTGGCTTAGGATTTTCTTGGCAATGCGGGCTCTTTTTTGGTTCCATATGAACTTTAAAGTAGTTTTTTCCAATTCTGTGAAGAAAGTCATTGATAGCTTGATGGGGATGGCATTAAATCTATGAATTACCTTGGGCAGTATGGCCGTTTTCACAATATCGATTCTTCCTACCCATGAGCATGGAATGTTCTTCCATTTGTTTGTATCCTCTTTTATTTCATTGAGCAGTGGTTTGTAGTTCTCCTTGAAGAGGTCCTTCACGTCCCTTGTAAGTTGGATTCCTAAGTATTTTATTCTCTTTGAAGCAATTGTGAATGGGAGTTCACTCATGATTTGGCTCTCTGTTTGTCTGTTATTGGTGTATAAGTATGCCTGTGATTTTTGTGCATTGATTTTGTATCCTGAGACTTTGCTGAAGTTGCTTATCGGCTGAAGGAGATTTTGGGCTGAGACAATGGGGTTTTCTTTTTCTTTATATTTTTATTATATAAACTTTTTTCTATTTAAAATTTTCTATTTTATTTATTTATTTATTTTTGGCTTGTTAAACTTCTTTTGTCAAAAACTAAGACATGGAAGAACACTCCAGAAGATGGCCAAATAGGAGCAGTTCCAGTCTACAGCTCCCAGCATGAGTGATGATTTCTGCATTTCCAACGGAGATACCAGGTTCATCTCACTGGGGCTTGTCAGACAGTGGGTGCAGGACAGTGGATGCAGCTCACGGATCGTGAGCCAAAGCAGGGCAAGGCATCACCTCACCCAGGAAGCACAAGGGGCCAGGGAATTCCCTTTCCTAGACAAGGGAAGCCGTGACAGATGGCACCTGGAAAATCAGGTCACTGCCACCCTAATACTGCGCTTTTCCAATGGTCTTACCAAACAGCACACCAGGAGATTATATTCCACGCCTGGCTAGGAGGGTCCCACGCCCATGGAGCCTGGCTCACTGCTAGCACAGCAGTCTGAGATCGAACTGCAAGGCGGCAGCGAGGCTGGGGGAGGGGCACCTGCCATTGCTGAAACTTGAGTAGGTAAACAAAGCGGCCAGGAAGCTGGAACTGTGTGGATCCCACCGCAGCTCAAGGAGGCCTGCCTGCCTCTGTAGACTTCACCTCTGGGGGCAGGGCATAGCTGAACAAAAGGCAGCAGAAACTTCTGCAGACTTAAACGTCCCTGTCTGACAGCTTTGAAGTGAGTAGTGGTTCTCCCAGCATGGAGTTTGAGATCTGAGAACGGACAGACTGCCTCCTCAAATGGGTCCCTGACCCCCGAGTAGCATAACTGGGAGGTACGTCTAAGTAGGGGCCATCTGACACCTCATATGGCTGGGTGCCCCTCTGAGATGAAGCTTCCAGAGGAACGATCAGGCAGCAACATTTGCTGTTCTGCAATATTTGTGGTTCTGCAGCCTCCGCTGGTGATACCTAGGAAACAGGGTCTGGAGTGGACCTCCAGCAAACTCCAACAGACCTGCAGCTGAGGGTCCTGACTGTTAGAAGGAAAACTAACAAACAGAAAGGACATCCACACCAAAACGTCATGTGTATGTCACCATCATCAAAGAGGAAAGGTAGATAAAACCACAAAGATGGGGATAAACCAGAGCAGAAAAGCTGAAAATTCTAAAAATCAGAGCACCTCTTCTCCTCCAAGGGAATGCAGCTCCTCACCAGCAACGGAACAAAGCTGGACGGAGAATGACTTTGACGAGTTGAGAGAAGAAGGCTTCAGAAGATCAGTAATAACAAACTTCTTTGAGCCAAAGGAGGATGTTCGAACCCATCACAAAGAAGCTAAAAATCTTGAAAAAAAGATCGAACGAATGGCTAACAAGAATACATAGGGTAGAGAAGACCTTAATTGACCTGATGGAGCTGAAAACCATGGCACAAGAACTATATGGCACATGCACAAGCTTCAGTAGCTGATTCGACCAACTGGAAGAGAAGGTATCAGTGATTGAAGATCAAATGAATGAAATGAAGCAAGAAGAGAAGTTTAGAGAAAAAAGAGTAAAAAGAAATGAACAAAGCCTCCAAGAAATATGGGACTATGTGAAAAGACCAAATCTACATCTGATTGGTGTACCTGAAAGTGACAGGGAGAATGGAACAAAGTTGGAAAACACTCTTCAGGATATTATCCAGGAGAACTTCCCCTATCTAGCAAGGCAGGCCAACATTCAGATTCAGGAAATACAGAGAACACCACAAAGATACTCCTCGAGAAGAGCAACTCCAAGACACATAATTGTCAGATTCACCAAAGTTGAAATGAAAGAAAATCTGATAAGGGCAGCCAGAGAGAAAGGATGAGTTTCCCACAAAGAGAAACCCATCAGACTAACAGCAGATCTCTTGGCAGAAACTCTACAAGCCAGAAGAGAGGGGACCAATAATCAACATTCTTAAAGAAAAGAATTTTCAACCCATAATTTCATATCCAGCCAAACTAAGCTTCATACATGAAGGAGAAATAAAATCCTTTCCAGACAAGCAAATACTGAGAGATTTTGTCACCACCAGGCCTGCCTTACAAGAGCTCCTGAAGGAAGCACTAAACATGGAAAGGGACAACCGGTACCAGCTGCTGCAAAAACATGCCAAATTGTAAAGACCATCGTTGCTAGGAAGAAACTGCATCAACTAATGAGCAAAATAACCAGCTAACATCATAATGACAGGATCAAATTCACACATAACAATATTAACCATAAATGTAAATGGGCTAAATGCTCCAATTAAAAGACACAGACTGTCAAATTGGATAAAGAGTCAACACCCATCAGTGTGCTGTATTCAGGAAACCCATCTCACGTGCAGAGACACACATAGGCTCAAAGTAAAAGGATGGAGGAAGATCTACAAAGCAAACAGAAAACAAAACAAGCAGGGGTTGCAATACTAGTCTCTGATAAAACAAACTTTAAACCAACAAAGATCAAAAGAGACAAAGAAGGCCATTACATGATGGTAAAGGGATCAATTCAACAAGAAGAACTAACTATCCTAAATATATATGCACCCAATACAGGAGCACTCAGATTCATAAAGCAAGTTCTTAGAGACCTACAAAGAGACTTGGACTCCCACACAATAATAATGGGAGACTTTAACACCACACTGTCAACATTAGAGAGATCCATGAGACAGAAAGTTAACAAGGATATCCAGGAATTGAACTCAGCTCTGCACCAAGCAGACCTAATAGACATCTACAGAACTCTCCACCCCAAATCAACAGAATATACATTCTTCTCAGCACCACATCACACTTATTCCAAAATTGACCACATAGTTGGAAGTAAAGCACTCCTCAGCAAATGTAAAAGAACAGAAATTATAACAAACAGTCTCTCAGACCACAGTGCAATCAAAGTAGAACTCAGGATTAAGAAACTCACTCAAAACTGCTCAACTACATGGCAACTGAACAACCTGCTCCTGAATGACTACTGGGTACATAACGAAATGAAGGCAGAAATAAAGATGTTCTTTGAAACCAGTGAGAACAAAGATACAATATACCAGAATCTCTGGGACACATTTAAAGCAGTGTCTAGAGGGAAATTTATAGCACTAAATGCCCACAACAGAAAGCAGGAAAGATCTAAAATTGACACCCTAGCATCACAAGTAAAAGAACTAGAGAAGCAAGAGCAAACACATTCAAAAGCTAGCAGAAGGCAAGAAATAACTAAGATCAGAGCAGAACTGAAGGAGATAGGGACACAAAAAAATCCTTCAAAAAATCAATGAATCCAGGAGCTGGTTTTTTGAAAAGATCAACAAAATTGATAGACTGCTAGCAAGTCTAATAAAGAAGAAAAGAGAGAAGAATCAAATAGACGCAATAAAAGTGATAAAGGGGATATCACCACTGATCCTACAGAAATACAAACTACCATCAGAGAATACTATAAACACCTCTATGCAAATAAACTAGAAAATCCAGAAGAAATGGATAAATTCCTTAACACATACACCCTCCCAAGACTAAACCAGGAGGAAGTTGAATCCCTGCATAGACCAATAACAGGCTCTGAAATTAAGGCAATAATTAATAGCTTACCTGCCAAAAAAAGTCCAGGACCAGATGGATTCACAGCTGAATTCTACCAGAGGTACAAAGAGGAGCTGGTACCATTCCTTCTGAAACTGTTCCAATCAATAGAAAAAGAGGGAATCCTCCCTAACTCATTTTATGAGGCCAGCATCATCCTGATACCAAAGCCTGGCAGAGACACAACCAAAAAGAGAATTTTAGACCAATATCCCTGATGAACATCGATGCAAAAATCCTGAATAAAATACTGGCAAACCAAATCCAGCATCACATCAAAAAGCTTACCCACAATGATCAAGTGGGCTTCATCCCTGGGATGCAAGGCTGGTTCAATATATGCAAATCAATAAATCGTAATCCATCATATGAACAGAACCAAAGACAAAAACCACATGATTAGCTCAATAGATGCAGAAAAGGCCTTCGACAAAATTCAGTAGCACTTCATGTTAAAAATTCTCAATAAATTAGGTACTGATGCGACGTATCTCAAAATAATAAGAGCTATTTATGACAAACCCACAGCCAATATCACACTGAGTGGGCAAAAACTGGAAGCATTCCCTTTGAAAACTGGCACAAGACAGGGATGCCCTCTCTCACCACTCCTATTCAACATAGTGTTTGAAGTTCTGGCCAGGGCAATCAGGCAGGAGAAAGAAATAAAGGGTATTCAATTAGGAAAAGACGAAGTCAAATTGTCCATGTTTGCAGATGACATGATTGTATATTTAGAAACCCCCATCTTCTCAGCCCAAAATCTCCTTAAGCTGATAAGCAACTTCAGCAAAATCTCAGGATACAAAATCAATGTGCAAAAATCGCAAGCGTTCCTATACACCAATAACAGACAAACAGAGAGCCAAATCATGAGTGAACTCCCATTCACAATTGCTTCAAAGAGAATAAAATACCTAGGAATCCAACTTACAAGGAATGTGAAGGACCTCTTCAAGGAGAATTACAAACCACTGCTCAACGAAATTAAAGAGGACACAAACAAATGGAAGAACATTCCATGCTCATGGATAGGAAGAATCAATATTGTGAAAATGGCCATACTGCCCAAGGTAATGTATGGATTCAATGCTATCCCCATCAAGCTACCAATGACTTTCTTCACAGAATTGGAAAAAACTACTTTAAAGTTCATATGGAACCAAAAAAGAGCCCGCATTGCCAAGAAAATCCTAAGCCAAAAGAACAAAGCTGGAGGCATCACGCTACCTGACTTCAAACTATACTACAAGGCTACAGTAACCAAAACAGCATGGTACTGGTACCAAAACAGAGATATAGACCAATGGAACAGAACAGAGCCCACAGAAATAATGCCGCATATCTACAACTATCTGATCTTTGACAAACCTGAGAAAAACAAGCAATGGGGAAAGGATTCCCTATTTAATAAATGGTGCTGGGAAAACTGGCTAGCCATATGTAGAAAGCTGAAACTGGATCCCTTCCTTACACCTTATACAAAAATTAATTCAAGATGGGTTAATGTTAGACCTAAAACCACAAAAACCCTAGAAGAAAACCTAGGCAATACCATTCAGGACACAGGCATGGGCAAGGACTTCATATCTAAAACACCAAAAGCAATGGCAACAAAAGCCAGAATTGACAAATGGGATCTAATTGAACTAAAGAGCTTCTGCACAGCAAAAGAAACTACCATCAGAGTGAACAGGCAACCTACAGAATGGGAGAAAATTTTTGCAATCTACTCATCTGAGAAAGGGGTAATATCCAGAATCTACAATGAACTCAAACAAATTTACAAGAAAAAAACAAACAACCCCATCAAAAAGTGGGCGAAGGATATGAACAGACACTTCTCAAAAGAAGACATTTATGCAGCCAAAAAACACATGAAAAAATGCTCATCATCACTGGCCATCAGAGAAATGCAAATCAAAACCACAATGAGATATCATCTCACACCAGTTAGAATGGCAATCATTAAAAAGTCAGGAAACAACAGGTGCTGGAGAGGATGTGGAGAAATAGGAACACTTTTACATGTTGGTGGGACTGTAAACTACTTCAACCATTGTGGAAGTCAGTGTGGCGATTCCTCGGGGATCTAGAATTAGAAATACCATTTGACCCAGCAATCCCATTACTGGGTATATACCCAAAGGTTTATAAATCATGCTGCTATAAAGACACATGCACACATATGTTTATTGCAGCACTATTCACAATAGCAAAAACTTGGAACCAACCCCAATGTCCAACAATGATAGACTGGATTAAGAAAATGTGGCACATATACACCATGGAATACTATGCAGCCATAAAAAGGATGAGTTAATTGTCCTTTGTAGGGACATGGATGAAGCTGGAAACCAACATTCTCAGCAAACTATCGTAAGGACAGGAAACCAAACACCACATGTTCTCACTCATAGGTGGGAATTGAACAATGAGAACACTTGGCCAGGTGCGCTGGCTCACGCCTGTAATCCCAGCACTTTGGGAGGCTGAGGCATGCGGATCACGAGGTCAGGAGATCGAGACCACCCTGGCTAACACTGTGAAACCCTGTCTCTACTAAAAATACAAAAAATTAGCCGGGTGTGGTGGCAGACACCTGTATTCCCAGCTACTCAAGAGGCTGAGGCAGGAGAATCGTGTGAACCTGCGAGGTGGAGCTTGCAGTGAGCCGAGATCGCACCACTGCACTCCAGCCTGGGTGACAGAGTGAGACTCCGTCTCAAAAAAAAAATTAAAAAAAAATTAAAAAATAATGAGAACACTTGTATACAAGGTGGGGAACATCACATACCAGGGCCTGTCATGTGGTCGGGGAAGGGGGGAGGGATAGCATTAGGAGATATAACTAATGTAAATTATGAGTTAATGGGTGCAGCACACCAACATGGCACATGTATACATATGTAACAAACCTGCACGTTGTGCACATGTACCCTAGAACTTAAAGTATAATAAAAAAATAGAAAAAAAAACCCACTAAGACACAAACACAGGCATTAGCCTACACAGGTTCAGGATCAGTATCACTCATTGTCTCCCACTTTGACATTTTATTCCACTGGAAGGTCTTTAGAGGCAATAATGTTCATGAAACTATCATCTCTTGTGATAACAATGCCTTCTTCTGGAATACCTCCTACCTGAGGTGTTTTTGCAGTTAAATTTTTGTTTTTAATAAGTAGAAGGGGTACACTCTAGAATAATGATAAAAAATATGGTAAGTACATAAACCAGTAACATAGGCATTTATTATCAAGAATTATGTACTGTACGTAACTGTGTGTGCTATAGTTTTATGTAACTGGTAGTGCAGTAGTTTTGTTTATACAAGCATTACCACAAACACATAAATAATGCATTGTGCTATGACATTATGATGGTTACTACATCACTAGGCAATAGGGATTTTTCAGTTCCGTTATAATCTTATGGGACTACCAGCATATATGCGGCCCATCACACAACTGTATTTTGGTTTATCTATGATTCTGATTTACTTCATTAATAGGAAAAATAATAGCTAATTAAACCAGACACAGAAAGGAGAGCTATGTAATTATTGGAATACTCAGATAATATGCTATATATTTAGAAGACATGACTGCTAGAAAAAAGGTGTTCAAAATTTAACTTTTATCTGTAAATAGCAGCAAAGTTGTCATTTGTGTGAGTGCGTGTGTATGTGTATGTGGTGTGTGTGTATGTGTTTTATAGAACTAGAAGTGTCAAAATTTCATTTCTCCATGACTCGCTTTTTAGAAAAGCTAGATAAGTGGAATCGGTCTCATTAAAACAAATAAAAAGAGCACTATAAACAGTTTTAAGTACCTTATATTTCAAAAACATTAGGTTCAAATCCCAACTGATATGGCATTTTTATTAAAAATGTCTGAATGCTTTGTTTTCATGGTCAAATGGATGACTAAACATTCAAGATTTATTTTCATCCCAGATTCCTTCTATTTAAGGAAAATCTTTTTAAAGAAATTTAAAGAATGTTTGCAGTAGAAGAGATTCTGATTGCTTTGTCCCTATGTGTCCTTTTAAAACATAACTTTGAAAAGCAGATGGTTAGATGCAGACAACATAGGGTTTAGTTCATTCCTTTGTCATTGCTCATAGCTTGAAATTTAGAAGACCTATATTCAGGAAAGGAAGGAAGATAATCAGTTCATAGTAAGTTTCATTTCACATTTCCCCCTGCATGTGAGTAGGAGTAGCCATGTCTTTATTCTGTTGCAATGCATTTTACATCTATTCTAGGCCTATGTAATGTTTTGAATTAGGTTGTTGGCCTGCCCTCAAACTCCTGCATACTTCCCCAGCTGCTTTGACTTCAGAGAAGCTCAATAAGCTATAATTTTAAAAAATGGAAATGAGGGAATGGTTTAAAGTATTTACCATTTCTTCTAGGTTTGTCAGTCAATTATATTTATTCTAAAACCACTCTGTGCAAAGAGATTTTCTTGGTGGTATAGGATGTTGAAGGGGGGAAAGTGGATAATGGTATTTTCATTGAATATTACTGCGACATACAGAATATGCAATGGGGTCTGCTATTGTGTTATCCTTTTTAGATCAGGTGGAAGAGAGACAGTAAATATCAGTTTTTGATAATATCTGTAAAATCTCGCTTCTCTGAATTTTTTCTCCAATTGAGAAACAGAAATGACACATTCATTCTTGCCTCAATGCTTCTCACATATGGAAAGAAAAGAAAGCAAAATGAAAAACAAAATGTAAGACAGAAATCCATGCTGTTGCAAGTATTTTTTGTTGCAGTTTTTGAATTTGGTGTGACATTGTTTTCTGGACTGTTGTATAATTAATAGACTATTTTCATATCCTTTATATATATTTATTTTAATTTGTCTTTGTCTTTTTAAAAATATTACAAACTCCTGCAGTGAGGAGCTAGATATCCTTTTTTTTCTTTCTAATACATTGTTTTCCATCTAGTGTCAATGCTATTTTAAAATGATACATTTGCAACCTAATACTTATACAATCTAGAGATTTAAAATTTTGTTCAAGTAATTCTTACCAACTTTAAACATTATTTATGGAGTCCTTTAGTTCAACGTAGTGTGCTAAATACCCACTTTCATCTCTCCTTTTCTCCAAAGTATTATGCAAATGACATAAAGTAAATTTCAAAAGAATGAAGTCATAACTGTGCTGCAAGAAAAGAAAGAGCAACATCAACACGTCAGGGGTATTAAGGACCTCATGGAAGATACAAAACAGACAGGTTGGAACTGATAGGGAAACTAGAGAGACCAACAATGAAAATGAAAGCTATGAATAGTTTTTCCCAAGTGAGCCCCAGGAGATTCTAAGACAGGATCAATAATTACAAAAAGAGAAACTGGGCCATAGATAAGTAGAATAATTAAGAATTGCCTTCTGTATAGCTGAATCTTTCCTATTTATTTTTTCTGCCTTTTCTTCCTTCATTTCATTTAATAAAAATCTATTGATGACCTGTTATGTGCTAGGCACTTTTAGTTTTAAAACGTGCTAAGTTCGAAGTGTTTTCAAGACATTAAGTAGGACTCTCTTGATATTTCTCTTCGAATATTGTTCTTTTTCCCAGTCTTTCACGTCTTTTTAGTTGGTGTCTTTGTCTGTTTTGTGCCATTATAATAGAATACCTGAGACTAGGTAATTTATAATGAACAAAATGTATTGGCTCACAGTTCTGGAGTCTAGGAAGTCCCTTCCTGTGTCATCTCATGGTGGAAGATGATGGGGTGAGAGAGGTCAAGAGGGGTTCAAATTCATCCTTTTATAAAGGCACCAATTCCACCAATGAGGGTGGATCCCTCATGGCCTAATCACCTCTTAAAGGTCTCACCTTTTAATACTGTTAAAATGGCAATTAAATTTCAACATGAATTTTAGAAGGGACAAACATTCAAACCATAGCAGTTGGCTTCATCATTCTCCCAGATTTCTAAGACAATAATCTAAGAGTCATCCTTGATTCTGCTTCTGTTTTTGCAATCTGGTATCTAATCCCACACCAAGGCCATCAATTTAACCTTCAAAATATATCTAGGTCTGACTATTGACAATGTCTACCTCTCCCATTTTAGACTGGACCAGTACAATATCTTTCTAACTGGAATTCTTGTTTTACCATCTATTTTCCAAACAGTCACAGTTATCCTTTAAAATTATATATCAGGGCCTAGTGTGGTGGCTCACGCCTATAATCCCAGCACTCTGGGAGGCTGAGGCAGGTGGATCACCTGAGGTCAAGAGTTTGAGACCAACATGGCAAAACCCCATCTCTACTAAAAATACAAAAATTAGCCAGGTGTGGTGGCACACACCTTTAGTCCCATCTACTCCAGAGGCTGAGACAGGAGAATCGCTTGAGCCTGGGAGGCAGAGGTTGCAGTGAGCTGAGATCATGCCACTGCACTCCAGCCTGGGCGACAGACCAAGACTCCGTCTCTAAATAAATAAAAAAATAAATAAAAATGTAAATCAGATCCTTTAACTTCACAACTCAACTTGTGAATCATCACACTTACCAGAGTCTCCCAGGCCATACAGGAAAGATGAAATAGGATAAAATAAATAAAGGCAGTTAAAGAAACTCTTCAGAAGATCTACAAGCATAGGTGTTTCTTTCTTTTAAGAGGAAGAAAAATATTTAACTTCAGGTCTAGTCACACTACTTACTATTATTATAAACAGTCAAAAGTTAATAATGTCTTACAATGGTGAATCAAGAATTTGAGGATTCAGTACATTATTTAAACTTAAAAGGGAGACCATTAGAACAACTACATGTAATAATATAACTAAGTAAAATGAGGAAGTGGCTGATAAAACATAGTCAAAGCAGTCCTCTTTCATAAGAGACATCAACAAATACAATCCAAATTGATAAACTGAAAAAAAGTTTACTTATTTTATTTAGAATTGTAATGGCAGTCCCTAAAGATCAAAAACCACATACTTTAAAGTGATCATTTTTGGGAACTAGAAATCGGGGATACAGTATGGGAGATATTACATATATTCTACTTTGTAATTACTCTTTTCAAATCATATGTAGAAATTATTTCCATAATATTAAATCTAATTTAAAAATACTTGTATTAATAGTGAATTGGTTAAATAGATTGTAGTATATCCACATATTAGAATAGTATTCAACATTTGGTTTAAAAAATGTAGGAGGGTAGCAACAAAACAACTGCAGGTCTAAAGCCTGTAATACAATACTATATCAATTGGATTTAATGTAAAAATGGAGAAACTGACCAAGGTAACCTTCACAAAATACTTACATTTATCATAGAATTATTTAACACAACAGATTATTTAGTATAAAATTATGTAATCTGTATAAATTAAATCTCCCACCAACACTTTTGAGGAAGAGAGACAGTATGGGCAGGAGGCCACAGTTCCTGTCTTATGTCAGTTTCTCTGGGAAACAGATCTGGGACAGAGATTTGCATGTAGGTGATGTATTGGGAGTGCTTTGGGGAACACCTGTGAGGGAGAGAGGGCTGCCAGATTGGGCAGTGGAAAAGCTGAACTGTGATGCTGTTGGAATATTTAGTTGACCCCATGGGGATTTCTGGGGCTGGGATGGACTTTCAAAGTTGTCATAAATGGAAGCAAGAGTGTTGAGTCTTTGTACCCTTACATTGAGCAGTCTTTGAATATAGGTTGTCCCTGTGGAGGGTATAAGTGTGGGTGAAGGAAGTTTCTTTGGTTGAGGCCAATTCCTGTAGTGGGATTGAGCTATGAAGCGTGGTTGGCAAACATTCCTGGCAGCTGGGGCAATGAGTGCCCTGGTCCTAAATGGAGAATCTAAGTGGAATACCATAGCCTCCATTACAGTAGCATCTAGGTGGTATCTGTGATTGTTCCTTAGTTGCCTTGTAGTGTTCCTCTCCCACTGGTGGCTGCCTAGATCATCACTGTGGATAAGATTCAGTACAAGGATCTCTTGTCAGAGCAAAGTCCAGAGCTTGTGGCCAGAGACTCCACCTTCCAGCATTGGAACAGTGGAAGAGCAACAGACAGTCCTGCAGAGGAAGCAGGTGTTACAAAGCAGGGTCAAAGCCCTAATATGTTGGTTCTAAATGGGCATAGTGAACATTTGACTCTGCTACAACCTCTTATCTGACTTTGGATTTTACAAATATGTAAATTAGATATTCTTCCTGGTCACAGGTAATTCTTACAGTGCTGATAAATTGTGATAAGTTGCCATAACCAGAACTTAGTTATAATCCATACACATAAATTCTCAACAGTGGTAAATGTTATGAAGCTATGGGAGTAGTATACATGCATAATTATAAGGAAATATTGTTTTCCAAAAATTATTCCTCAAAAAAGATACAATTACTTTATGTTTGAGACCTCTTGAAATCATATTATAGGATGTTATCTCAATTATCCTGTTTGAAGCAAGAAATGCTGTTTGGAGGATATAGCTTTCAGTAATTTTTATCAGTGCCATTTATGCTCTCTTGTTAAGCTCATCTGATGTAATCAATAAAATAGTTTTGAAGAAGTCCAAGTAGTAGAGAAGTAGAAGTAGAGTTAGTTATTTATTCCTGTGTATATACATTCACAAATAAAAGTGTTTGAAACTGTTTATAAAGTTTAAAAATATTATTTTTAAAGCAGTGCAATAAGTAAATATGTTATGGAAAATGGAAATAAATATCTACTGTAGTGCTTCTCAAACTTCAGTGTGCAACAGAAGCATCTGGAGGGTTTGTTAAAATACAGATTACTTGGCCCCACCCTCTCAAACGTTTCTAATTCATAGGTCAGATAAATGCCAGGCCTGGCATTTTGCATTTTTGGTAAGTTTCCAGGTGATGCTGATGCTCCTGGCTCAGAATCACACTTCGATAACTGCTGGTCTATTAGATAAATGGAAATAATCCTCATAATAAAAAATTATTGTTCTAGTAGTTTGTGAGTGAGTTCTTATGGTTTGGAATACATTTGCTGTAATGGCATTCCCAACAGTTAGATGGAGTTGAAGATAAAACACTTCAAAAAGTTAAGTTACAAGACTCCAAAACTAGCTCTAATGATCACAAATATTTATGTTCAACATACATCTGAAATGTTTCAGTTTCATGAAACTGGAGAGTGGGAGCAAAGTGGTATTTCATACAATGTTTCATTTAAAGCATGTATCATTCCAAAATTAAGTCAACATTATAAGCAGACATTGGCTATTTTATATACATCTCTAAATGTCTGTACACTAAAGCTGACCACCTTCCAAAAATATTGGATCCACTTATTGGGAAAGTAAAAATTTACCTTATATTTGCAGTAAACTTCTACTTGATATGCACATGGTATTATAGAGCAAAGCAATAAGTATAAAGCAATAAGTTTCCTACTATTTATATAATAATAAATTCATGTATCTTTGTGTTTGAGTTCACAGAAGTATGCTGGTTTATAACATGGATAAAATTCTGGAAAAATACACTCAAATTTTAAGATTGAGAAGTGACACATGGGAAGATTTTCCACATGCTTTCATACTACCTACACTTTTAGATTGATGATTTCATGATAAGTTGTACTACTTGTATAATTTAAATCAATTTTGAAGTGGCAATCAAGATTTATTTAAATTGAAGGAAATGGAACATACTTCTAAAACTAAAAGCAATAAAAATTACAGATTTTTTTTGGCATGGAGATGTAGAAGAACATAGAGGTAAATTGTTGTAGGGGTTGGCATTAAAGAATTCACCCCAGGACTGGGGAATCACACCCTTCAGCAAAGTTGAAGATCACATCTCACTGAGATGCCACATCTCAGTGGCATCTGTGTATAGCATGTGTCCTACTTTGGTGTAAAGGGATTACAGGAGAGTTCAGTGCAGAAGGAATGAAAAATGGAAGTTCCCCTCAGCTCATGTGTGGTAGGAATTGCCCAAACCATGAATGCAGGCCTTAATTTCTGGCACAGACAGAAGGATGAGAAATCAAGGCAGAAGTTTTTAATTCTAGTTTCAAGAACTCCCTGAAACAACATGCAGTATTTTATGTGTATTTGCATACGGAAATTTGGGGCAGGGCTCAAAGCAATTGTTAAAAGGGTCAATGATGCAAAACACGTTAGGAATCTCTTTATTAATTTCGCTCAAGACTCTGTCCAGAAACATCAGTGTCTTTCCTTGTAATTCTCCTCTTAAGGAATATTTCCTGTAATAAATCTTACAAATGCTCCTTAAATCATTTTAAATATTTTTTGTTGTTTTGAATTTTAAAGATGCCCATAACTAATTTTTTGATTAAATTTATATAGCTCTTCTTGGCCTAGGTTTTATGATACAATTATCTTCTACCCTTTAGTATTTAATTCTTTTTCCTCTGATTTACTTTAATGGCTTTATTATATATTTGTCTATTTCTTTAAGCTCCTTTAAATTATTTCTGAAATTAGTTGGCATACAGACAATAAAATAATAAGTGTTGATTATAATAGGCATGAGTGAAGATCGGATCCTTCATAAACATTTTAGATTTTTACTTTATAGTTTTGTGTAGAATATGCTATTGCATTTATGCATAATAACTAAAGATCATTAAGTCTGAAAAGGATTGTAGAGAGAACCTGGTGCTACGTTCTTATTGTGGACCTTCATTCTTAATCTAGTGATCCAGAGAGAGGGTTACATGACTCACTGCCAGGCACATAGTCACCTACTGTTTGAAGTAGGAGTTGCAGTTACGGAAGCTGCCATCACAGTTAGTGCAAATCTGCATTTAAATCTCAACAACCCCATCAGTTCTCTGTGATTTAAGTCATCTGCTCTTCTGGATCTCAACTGCTTATAAAATTAAAGTTTTATATCTGTGTATTAGGTAATGGTTAATTAATTATCTAATTATGCATTTTTTGGACCAAGATGTGGCCCTTTTCTTCATGTGTAGCATGATACCATATTTCAGCAATTCTGAGATTACCATATTTTTCACATTTAACATCTTTGAAATTAGAATGTGGCATATAATTGATGGTATGTCATAGTTTAATGTCATAGTTCAGTTATCAGGTTTTTAAAAACTTTTGTAGTGGTATATAAAATAATGATGTGTCTTATAATTGATAGTGTCTAAGATTCAATGAAGTACCAGGGAGTTGATAAATAGAAAACAGAAAACCATAACCACCCAACTTCCCTATCAATCAATCTTCTCTATTTCATAAATGATAGGAGAAAGCTTATTGTTTAATTGATTGTTGGCTTTTTATGCTACCAAAGAGGAGTAATTGCAACAATACAATGATTCATGGATGGCAACCAAAAGAACTGTGATCACCTAAGTGTAGCAAAAAGAAAATATTACTACCTGTTAATTTACATCCCATGAAGTTAAGCACATATTTCATCATTTGAGTGATGTCATCCTCTCTAAAATTTATGCTGAAACTTAATCCTCAATGCAACAGTATTAAGAGGTATGACCTTTGAGAGGTTATTAAGTCATAAGGGCTCCACCCTCATAAATGGGAGTCACATTCTTGTAAACAGGCTCAAGGTTGAAAGGAGAGTTCTCTGGCCCTTCATTCCTTCCATCATATGAGGACACTGGGTTAGTTCTCTCTGGAGGATGCAGCAACAAGACTCCATCTTGGAAGCAGACAGCAATTTTCACCAAACATGCAACAGGCCAGTGCCTTGATCATGGACTACCCAGCCTCCAGAACTGTGAGAAATAAATTTCTGTCTTTTATAAATTGCCCAATTTAAGGTATTTTGTTATAGCAGCAAAAACACACTAAGACAGCATGCATCAGCTCAATTATATATTGAATATTATGAAAGACTAGTTTAAATTTCAGCTCTCTCTTCTTAAATACATTTTTAGCTTTCATTATTCTATGCTTTCAATTCCTGTGGGTTAATGTAATTTTGGTTAGATTCTTGATTACTCGTTGGAACTATATCTGGATTTAGGATGTAAAAACAATAACTTTAATATTCCCAAGGAAACTGCTGAAATATGCTGTGTATATATAGGATCAGGGCTATCTTTTTCCTTCGTCTACCACTTGTCATCAATCTTTTGCAAGTTGTAAGTGAAAATGGAAGCTGTCATCAAGGCCTCAGCATTTGCTTTGGAGCCTTCAGGCAGCACATTTCTGTTCATTTCTCTTAAGCACTGAGCTTCAGCCTGTTCTTTGTTGATAATCAGAGCTTGACTTTATCTGCACCTGTCACTCCAGCCAGTACATAGATTTGCTCATTACACTTGTCTTCCACATCATTTAAAAGACCTAGCATAAAAGACTTAGCTATGATTACAGATTGCTTTCAAAAATGCTTCCTTCTGGTAGTAGCCGTATGTCTTCCCATACATAAACATATGTAGGCATGAAGGCTCTATAGCAACAGAAAGAGTTCCTATAAAATGCTGAGGATGTAGTCTGGTATTAGTGCACCAATTCAAGGTATGATAATAGAGGTGCAGCTTAAACTTCAAGACTACCTTTATGTCCTTGTACTTAGGAATTGAGAACAGTCTGTTAAGTAATGCATGTGCAGCAGTGATTTGTATAAAGAGATTTATGAGAAAAGTGCCCTCTGAGTTTTTTGGTCTAATGATGAATGTGATCCAATCAAACCATTAAAATGACTTAAGTGCAGCCAAATGTCATTTGTTGCTTGCCATAGTATTTTAAGAAAAAATAGCCATTACAAACCCTTGAAAAGGTCTTAATTGCTTTATAAGCTATGACAGCTCAGGATGACTAGTAATAGCCATTTGACTTTTGTGGAAATTATGAACTATGAAGGCCTAAATGTCATGTCTGCATGAGGATGTAGAAAGTGTTTATTCGTTTTTTTGTTATGTCTTATAATTATCTAGAAAAAATAAAAGAAGTTGGAACTTGAAATAGCCTAATGGCTTATTTCAGTCAGTAGGGTCTCCTGTACTATGACCTAATTTAGGACATTTTAGTTTAGTTATTGTTGACCAAATAAAGTGGTCTTAGATTTCTTATCTTCTGGATTAAAATAGCTTTTATTGAGGAGGAAAGACCCCAACCTACAAATTTGTTATTTCTAATTAAATATATACATACAAATATTTAAATTGCAGACTGTAGTATTTCATAGGTTAGAAAAGAGAACAGTAATAACAAAATCGTGAAAAATGCAGTCATCCCTCCATATCCATGGGGGATTGGTTCCAGGATACCCGATAGATACCAAAATCTGAGGGTGGTCAAATCCCTTATATAATATGGTGTAGTATTTATATATAACCTATGGACATCCTCCTATGTACTTTAAATCATGTCTAGATTACTTACAATACCTAAACAATGTAAATGCTATAAAAATAGTTGTTTTGGAGTATTTTATTTATATTATTATTATGATTTTTAATTTTTAAATATTTCAGATCTCCAGTTGGTTGAATGTGTGCATGTAGAACCCACAGACACAGAGGATGGGCTACATTATGTAGCGTAAGTAGACCTTTACCATCTTATTAAACAACTGTAATTCAACTACAATTTAGTGAGTGGAAAGGAAGACTGATTTTCTTTATCATTTGTTTGTTCAGTTTCAATAAATGTTTACTGAACCACTACTATGTTTAAGATGTTAGAATGTGGTTTTTGAATGTTTGTGGTTGTAATAATTTTTTTTAATGGAGTTACCATTTATACAATTATTATTTATGACTCCTGATATTTTCCTAAGTTTTCCCTGAGATAGGTGGGGGTAAAGGCAGGTTAGGATTTTTTTTTTCTGAACCTGGTTATTTTTGTGAGCAGTGAGCATCAAGGAGCTGACAGAGGAGGGCACCTGTATTCAACGATGCTTAGTGAGGATAGGGTCAGAGGATTAATGTGATACTTAATGCAGGAAAGGAGAGAGATAGCACAGCTGTGAAATTTTCAGAAGGAGTTGGGTCAAAAGAGAGTAACTGACACTGTCAGGGTGTATATGGCCCTGAAGCCTTGACATGTTATATGTTCCAAAGTAAGCTTTTATCTTAGGTCTTGCACTATACTAGTCATTTTGTCAAGCAATTAAAATTTTTGTCACCATTATATTTAGGATTCTCACTGTTACAAAACTTGTCCTAAATTGCAAAGAAGTCCAAAGTAAGAAGAACATCAGGAGTGGGTATGGTGGGGTTCAGGGGAGAACACATGTATACCAGATCTGCTACCAAAGAATTGCCGTAGACTTAAAACTTATGCTTTAAATTGTGAAATCTAAGTCATATTCAATATACGAGTTGTCAAAAAGCATATTTCTCCATCATAATAGAAAACAAAAATAAAGAAAAACATGAGTCATTTGGCATCCCTCAACTGATGTTGCTTTTTCATCATGACAGTTTAAAGCTGGTTGATATCAGTCCTTCTCATTTGCTGATGTCACTCCTGCCTTTACTCTGGATTTCTTGATGGACACGTTTCTTGCTCCACATCAGTCATATGATATTTTGGACAAGGACTATTATGGTCTGAATCTTTGAAGGCGTTATTTTAACTACTTAAAATTGATGCCATAATAATGTCTAGAACATTTTCTGGCATGTTGAAAGCATTCATGTTTGTTGACTCAGTGAAAAAAGATTCTCTTTTCTCCTCTCTGGAAAACTTGCAGGGACTCTACCTGCCTCTCCTAAAGCGCCAGACATTCGTTCTCCCTCTGCTCTATTTTTCCCCTTCACTATTTCTCCTCTCTCCTACTTTGGAATTCTCTTGAGAGTTGGAAATGTGATAAAAGTGATCAGTGTCCCAAGAATGGGAAAGAGTGGTTCAGGCCTCTGGATAATTATACATAGATGGCACTCTGCCCTTTGTTTTATTGAGCCTAGGACTCTACTGTTTTTTTTTTTTTTATTGCTTTAATGGTGTAAACTGTTGTTTTAATAATGAATTTAATTTTGTCTAGTTTCAAGAAAAGTTAGTATTTTGTCTTGATCATTGAGATATAGGCAAATGAAACAGGTGAGTTTAGTTTAGTTTCTTGGATTATATGCAAAATTTGTTAAATTCATCCATAATTACAGAAATTTACTTTTTCTCACTAAGATCAAGGATAGATTTTAAAGCTAGTTAAATATTTAGTTTAAAAGGTTTAGTTTTACTATGAATATTATCTAAAGTGATAGCAAAAAAGTCTTCCATTAGTATGAATGTTTTCACTGCTGTATTAATAAGGTTGCTTATTTTTACATGTTCTGCCAGAGCAAAAACAAAAATATGAGTTAAAAATTTTTCATAGAGTCAGTATTCTAAACATATACCTCATTATAGTATGATCATATTTTCACTAGACTTTTTATATCTCATGATTGGGGGTGCTATTATAGAATCTCAAAGAGCATTTTTTTTGCTACATTATTTAGGAAAAGCATGTTGTTAGATATCTTATTAAATAATTCTAATAAAATGTGGCAATTTATTAAAAATATGGAATATGTACAAGATGTCCAAGTAACTTATAGTGCAAAATATGCTATAAAGTGGTCTGCACACTAGAAAAAAATTATAAATGAAGAAAACAAGGATTAATGGGAAAGAGAAAGGGGCTCATATGTTTCTTCCTCTTTTTCCCCCCACTTTCATCTACCAATAGGCAGAGTGTATTGTATGAAAGAAAGTTCCCCTCCCTACAATATGAGCTCCACAGCTGCCTGCATTTCCATCAATTAGAGATTCATTTGTTTAACAAGTTCAATACCTCTGGGAAATTACCACCTGGAAGATTTTATTCTTTCCAGTTTATAAACAAAAGGCACCTGCTTCAAACGTTGCAGAACCCAGATAGAATATAATTAAAGTTTTAAGCTAAAAGAAGCAACTGGGGAGGGATTCCTGACCTTAACACTATCAAGAGTCTCCCTCTGAATTTTGGCCTTTAGCTCTTGCTTACATTTTCAATTTTATCAGCTCAACAGGTAGAATTTAATTATATGAACTCCCAGGTCTGAGTGTATTCCTTTTAATAAAACAGGGGCATTTTTAATCCCTGCAAAGTATAGACTATTGACTTACTAAACAGTCTGCCCAAAATGTGTGCCATTCTTTTGCCTAGTATGTTACAGGCCTGAATTTATTGGTCAGTATTCCACGCAAGACACATAATTGTGATGGTAGTGATAGGTTGTCAGTGCCTGTGATGTTTCAGTACTGTGTTGGTTGAGATTGCTATGATTCCTGCCCTTAGAGCTTATAGTCTAGCAGGGAGATTATACATGAAATGTCTCATTACATAAGTATTTAACTACTGGGGTATAAGGAACCATGATGCAAAGAGTATGGACCCATTAACTGACTTAGTTATTCCATCTAAACGGTTTCAAGTTACTTGCCCTGATTACTTCAAGGAGATGAGATGGACTTCTATGCAGGTTTATGTATGCTTGTAAGGAGCTTCAGTGTCCCATTATCTTCTTTGAATATTGCTACACTCAGGGTACATTGAGAAAGTATTATATTAATACTAAATCAATTCTGCTCAACATCCATCAAAGTTCTTGTTGACAGAAATTTAAGGAAGATTGACTTGAAAAATATGCCATTCATCTTCCTTCAGGTACTCTGTCTCTGGATAAAACCAGTTCAATAGGGAGCTGCCTGTGTGAACTTTGTTTTATTGCTCCTATATCCTGTGGAGTTTGTATTGACTTGCACTTTGACACAATGACATTAACTTAGGTTGAAGGATATTGCGGGAAGCAGCCTGACGAAATGCGTTGCTGCGCATACCATAAGGGTGTTGTGCATTACATTTACACCTTGTTCTCCAAGAGAACCTATGGAGAAACTTCCTGCAGGGGTCAACACACAAGTATTTGTGTTTTTTTCCTTAGCAACCAGTTTGTGTTTATCTTATGGTCTATGTGAATTAAGTAACTAATGCTTTCTGGATTCTAGAAAGTTAAAATAAAGTTTATGGCTCATGTCCAGCAAGTATATAATATATTAATGCACGCATTAAAAATTAACCTCTCTCCTTTTTGTCTTTATCTTTCTCTTATTTCATTTCTCCCATCTTAAATTTGCCTTATCTTGCTGTGTGATACATATTAAGGCATCTTAAAACATTTCTGTAACAAAGAGGGGTATAAAATATAAATCTCACGAAGAGCTAAGCAATTGGCCTAACAGAATTTATTGAAAAACTTTTATTCTGCACGAATCCATGATGTCTTTATTACATATTTAATTTTTTACATATATTAAGCTCTGTTTTGGGGCAGTTTCTTTTCTTTTCTTTCTTTCTTTCTTTTTTTTTTTTTTGCTCATTTATAATACTACATTGACTCAGAAACTCCACTGTCTGACATTCATCCTAAGAAAATAATTAAGGATCATCACAAATATTTGACTACATAATACTTATTTGTGTCACTTTTTTGCAGTAGCGAAAATTGGAAAACAATCTAAACTTCTAAATATAGAAGATAAATTGAGCAAATTGAAGTGCAGTCATATAATCAAATACTTATGTGATAAGATATTGTAGTTTATTTATTGATATGTTCAAATTTATTAAGAGCAATAAAACAATGAGTGTGTACATCTGATTATATTTATGTAAATATGTATTTAAGTGAGATTCTTTGCTTAATTGCTTAGGAAGCATATAACGGCTTTTCAGTAGTACCCAAAGCACAACACTAGAGCACCTTCCTACAAAGACTGGTGGAATGTTTTTCTCTCCTTGAGGCCCTTCCTCAGATATATTTCCAAGAACACCTTTGGCTGTTTTCTCATGTCCAAAGGACCTATTCTGGTTTTCTTAGCCATGTTGCAAGAGCCAGAATTCAGAAGCTCTCCCTTGAGGCTGAATGACTGCACATTACCACTGAGTGCCAGTTGCTCCATAATAAGTCACCGTACCCCTTAGATTTCTAACAAGACTGGAAGTGAATATTGCCCTTGAAATTTGTCGGTACGAAAGGTGTGTTTAGTGTCCCTTCTGCCGATACATATTTCTGTCCAGTGCAACCCACTCCTTAGGGTGTGAGGGAAAAATGTATTTTCTTTTGTGTTTTCCTTGACCAAAGATACTCAACACCAAGATTGCTTATACTCTAAAACTTAATGGTTGTTGCAGTGTTCACTCATAGCCCTGCTTTCCAAGGCAAATCTACAGTGACTTAGTCCAGAGCATTTTCGAAGTTGTCACAAACTGACGGTAGAATCAGCTCAGAGGACTTAGTCCGGCTCCCAGTTCCTCTCTCTCAGAATAAATATTTCTTTCAGTGGAAACATCCACTTTATTTTGCGCACACATACACAGAAAAAGGTTTGAACTAGTGTGTACCACAATGATATTGTGTGACTTTTTTAAAATCTTAATTTTGCTTATCTATAGTTTAAAATTTTTCTACATGATTATGTGTCACTAAAGTGTCTTAGTAATCTGAGTTTCATGCACTTTTTACTAAAATTTTAAAATCTTTTTGTTTTAGAAACTTTCAAACATATGGAAAATGGAGACCATAATATGCAGAGTGAACTTGTGTACCTATCACTCACAGCCAACAATCAACACTTTTTATTTTTTTATTACTCACTATTACCCATAGCATTTTGTTTTGCTGCAATATTTTAAGGCAAATCTTAGATATTATATCATTTTACCTATAAATACTTTCATATTCATTTCTCACTGCAAAGTCATTTTTTAACATACTCATTGTGCCATTGTCTTAACTGATTGAATTAATAGCAATTGCTTTGTGTTCTCCCCAGTTTATATTCACACTTGCCTGACTGTCTCTCAATAATGTATTTTTTACACTTGGCTTATTCAAACCAGGAATCAAACGTGCTTTACATATTTTCTTTAATTTATGTTTCTTATGTCCTTCTTCTTCTTCACCCTTTTTATTTATTGATTTATTAGAACACTGATCATTTGTCCTTTAGAATGTCCAACATTTTGAAATTTGGTTGATTGTTTTATTCTTCTGTTGTTCAGTTTGTTTTCATTTTTTTATTCCATGTATTTCCAATAAACTGGTTGTTAGAATATAAATGTTTGATTACAGTTAGCTTCTTTTAAGACAAAAATAATTCACAGTCATTGGCATCAATTGTTATTGTATTTCATTATTAGGAGATAATGCCTAACTTTTGGTGATGCTAGAGCTGGTCATTAAGTGTATATTGGCACTCTACACATATACTTACTTTTTATAAAAGTAGAACATGCACATGGTTAAAATATGCAGTTGCACAGGGGTCTTATATGGCTCCAGCCTCCTTGTCCTCTGCTCCACCCTGCACTATTCCTAGTTCCAAATTTAACGATTTTCATTTTTAGTTCTTATGGTCATTATGTTTAGCCTTCCAATAAGACGCTTATACTCTTCTTTCTTGACTGGTGAACTCTTGGACATAATCTATCCTAGACATACTCCATCCAGGAGGTGAATAGCAAGGACTTGTTTATACTGCTTCTTCGTTTTATGTTGCCCATATTCCTAATACTGTTTTATTATTTTCAGTTTATCTGTTTCTTGTGTGTTACTGTGAAAAAATCATTTCACTTATTATCCTTGTTCTATGAATTTCAGACAGAATTGCTCATTCTCCACCTTGAAAAATGAAGATACTAGCTTTTTATTGTTTCCTCTACCTGTCCTTTACTTGGAGTTTCTTCATTTTTCACCTTCCTCATCTGATGAGGAGAAATGCCATTTTCCTTGAAATGGACTAGCACTTGCTTCAGGTAGGAAGTGCAGTGCCCCCAGTCAGCTGTGGAACATCACCTTTAAGGCTGTGGAAAAGGGTAAAGATGGCTAGGGAAGGAGGGCTGTCCCAGACAACTTTATGGACTGAACCCTCTCTGAAGAAGGGTCAACTTCAGATCTCAGCCTCACTCTCAGCCTGGGCCCTTTCTGAGGAGACCAGGGAAGACTGTATTCAAACTCAGATCCCTAGAGCATTTGGATGTCAGCATAGTGAGGTTTTTGGTCACAGTTGCATTTATTTATTTATTTCTATGTATTTCTCTTTCATCGCTATGGGTACAGTAGCAGTCTCTTCAGGAGTTTGATGCTAGTTAGCTATTCTGGGGGCTTGCTTAAAATTCAATGGGAAAAAGTACTAACTGATTTTTTTTGACAAAGCATTAGAATGAAATGACAATTTTACCTTGTGGAGGTAGAAAATGTCTTCTTAACAATACTGAAACCCGAGATGCCATGAAACTAAAATGTATTTTAGTCCTTAAGTAATGAAAAATGTCTAATAATATATAAAAATAACACATGACAGAGGTTTAAAATTCTTAATACTTAAAATTATTCTCCCACATCATAAGCAAAAGATGAATAACAAGCAGAATGAAAACAACAAAAGATAAGAAGAGAAAATACTTGATAGAAGAAATGCAACGGTCCTAAAATTCTAAAATTCAGACATTTCTAGATACATGTAAAAATGATGTTTAAACTACCGTAAAATTGAATTAGAGATTAACATCTATCTAGAAAAATAAGAAAACAGCATAATTTTATAATGTTAATTAACCCACAAACAATCATTACAATAAAATGCACCTAAATATGACTCACCTTGGGAAAGTTAAGCATGTAGAAATAATTTGTTGCTATACCAGCCTTTTCTATAAGGATATATTCTGCTTTTCTGTGTTTTGGATAAAATAAAGCCCATAGTGATTTTAACAAGAAAAATATTCATTGAAAAGGAAAAGAAAAAAAAGCAAGAAGAAGAAAGAAGAAAATATAATGCTTAATGCTGTTTCTCTACACAGAATGTCCTTCTGAGCTTCCTCACCTCAGTAAATTACTACATGGCATTTCCTGAACTAATAGTAATAATTAAACTGTTCTCACTTGTCTTTTAAGTTTAAATTGATAATTGTGCTGGAAGCTCAGAAAAAAGATCATTAGTATATTCCACAGCAGAAACTGAAGATAAACTGTTCCTTAGTTGATATTAAATGTACTGTTACATACAACTAAGAATGCTTTTTTATTCTGGAATGTGTATACATTAGAAGCGTGTTATATTTTGTTGGGCATCGCAGCTTGGCTGTGCTTGGAAAGAGATATCATTTCAGTTTGATATCTGGCTTGACTGCATTTGCCTGAGGAACAGATAGTTGACTGATTGATAGATCGATTGATAGATAAAGTGCCCAAGCTAATTGTCATTGCATTGTCAGCATTTTAACAGCCTTTTGTTTTTCCTTTGCTTTTCCTCAGTGTTCCTAAGTGTTTATGGTGGTAAGCATTTTATTATTTACACATGCAGTAAAAAATTGATGTTCTGACTTCCTCTAACTGCCACACCCCACCTTGTCCTTCATAATTTTTTTAATACAGAATAACCATGAAAGATTCAAGAATACGGAGATAAAATCAGGCAAGAAAATCATGGCATGATATGGTTATAATACTGAAACTGAATCAGTACAGAAGTGTTTGAATTCTAACCAGGAAGGTCTCAGCCTCTACCAATATCCAGAATGAAATTTTAAAAAAATTTTGTCTATTTTGACTGGTGGTTTTTATTAAATCATCAGTTTGTGGGTAGAACATAACAAAAATACCTGTTCTTTTTATTTTTAGCATTTATCATATTTTGCAATATGATATCCCATCTATCTGTTCACATATCCCATCTATCTGTTCACAGGTGTACAACCTCTCTCTTTTACTGTAAATGAACTCCATGATGGGAGGGTTTAAGCCTGTTGTGCGCACACCTGAATTTATAACACTTGACACATAAAGGTGTTTATTAAATACTGACTAATAAATAAAGAAATAAGAGGAAATCATACTAGTAATTGTGTGTGAAGGTTAGCAACTGTTACCAGCTACTGAACGTCATTTCTTAACTAATCCTTCCCATTTTGACTGCAGAGAAACTGACTAGGAGATATCAGAGATCAAGTCCTGCTAAACTTTCTGTCACTTCATTCTAATAGCTTGCTAGCAGGAGGAAGTTGGATATACTTTAAGTTTTAGGGTACATGTGCACAATGTGCAGGTTAGTTACATATGTATACATGTGCCATGCTGGTGCACTGCACCCAGTAACTCGTCATCTAGCATTAGGTATATCTCCCAATGCTATCCCTCCCCCCTCCCCCCACCCCACAACAGTCCCCAGAGTGTGATATTCCCCTTCCTGTGTCCATGTGATCTCATTGTTCAATTCCCACCTATGAGTGAGAATATGTGGTGTTTGGTTTTTTGTTCTTGCGATAGTTTACTGAGAATGATGTTTTCCCATTTCAGCCATGTCCCTACAAAGGACATGAACTCATCACTTTTTATGGCTGCATAGTATTCCATGGTGTATATGTGCCACATTTTCTTAATCCAGTCTATCATTGTTGGACATTTGGGTTGGTTCCAAGTCTTTGCTCTTGTGAATAATGCCGCAATAAACATACGTGTGCGTGTGTCTTTACAGCAGCATGATTTATAGTCATTTGGGTATATACCCAGTAATGGGATGGCTGGGTCAAATGGTATTTCTAGTTCTAGATCCCTGAGGAATCGCCACACTGACTTCCACAATGGTTGAACTAGTTTACAGTCCCACCAACAGTGTAAAAGTGTTCCTATTTCTCCACATCCTCTCCAGCACCTGTTGTTTCCTGACTTTTGAATGATTGCCATTCTAACTGGTGTGAGATGGTATCTCATTGTGGTTTTGATTTGCATTTCTCTGATGGCCAGTGATGACGAGCATTTTTTCATGTGTTTTTTGGCTGCATAAATGTCTTCTTTTGAGAAGTGTCTGTTCATGTCCTTCACCCACTTTTTGATGGGGTTGTTTGTTTTTTTCTTGTAAATTTGTTTGAGTTCATCATAGATTCTGGATATTAGCCCTTTGTCAGATGAGTAGGTTGCAAAAATTTTCTCCCATTTTATAGGTTGCCTGTTCACTCTGATGGTAGTTTCTTTTGCTGTGCAGAAGCTCTTTAGTTTAATTAGATCCCATTTGTCAATTTTGGCTTTTGTTGCCATTTCTTTTGGTGTTTTAGACATGAAGTCCTTGCCCATGCCTATGTCCTGAATGGTAATGCCTAGGTTTTCTTCTAGGGTTTTTATGGTTTTCGGTCTAATGTTTAAGTCTTTAATGCATCTTGAATTGATTTTTGTATAAGGTGTAAGGAAGGGATCCAGTTTCAGCTTTCTACATATGGCTAGCCAGTTTTCCCAGCACCATTTATTAAACAGGGAATCCTTTCCCCATTGCTTGTTTTTCTCAGGTTTGTCAAAGATCAGATAGTTGTAGATATGCGGCATTACTTCTGAGGGCTCTGTTCTGTTCCATTGATCTATATCTCTGTTTTGGTACCAGTACCCAAAACAGCATGGTACTGGAAGGTGGGTTCTTGCATCTGAATGAGAAGTAGAAAAAGAAATAAATTGGAATTTGGGGCAGAAAATTGGAATTTATTTAAACAAAATCTATTGTATAAAAAAGGTTATATTAAAAACAGGAAAAGATTTTACATTTCTAGTATGCTGAAGGAGGTTATAGTAAAAAAAGTAATAAAGCAACTATATGATTCGAAAATTATAAAAATGTTTTCATTATAATTAAGATATGAATATTTATTAGCAATGATTATTTTAATGTTTTCTAAGACATTCCAAGATATGGATGCACCATTTGGCTCAGAGAATCAATATTGAGCACACATTTACTTAAAAGTCAAATTTACCATTTAAAAAATAGAACTAATGACCTCAAACATTATAAAGTGATTTTTGTTGGTTTGAAGATATAAGACCTCATTAATTCATATTCTACATAATTTGGAATTTGTGATTGCTTGCCAAGGGTGACATTTCCTTTTGCATTATCCTGAAGAAAGTTTTAACTGAATAGATGAATAGTTTAAAGAAGATGGTTGAAGATATTTAACCTTTATAAAAGAGTCAACATAATTTAGAAGGCTTTAGAACATTGTATGCAAATAGATGCTTTTATTTATGAATTGATTTTTGTCTATTAATTAAAGCAAGTTTAGAATAATTTGTTTTTACAAATATAGTTTTAGTTACTCTAGTATACATATAATAATTCCAAATAATTATTAAAGATAGTACACTGGAGGTGATTATTATTCATTTATTTACTAAACAAGTATTTTCTTAGGGGTAATCATGTACGAAGACAGACATTATCCCTCATATTGTGGAGTTTTTGGTCTAGTGCAACGTTTTAGAAACTTGTTTGATTGCACGGCTCTAATAGGAGAAATATTTGACAATGCACCATTGATATATGTATATTTACCTATAAATAACATGCATGTACTATTTTACTAATATATGAAGCACATTAAAAAACTAATTCAAGAATAAATCATGACAGGGTAAGATAAAAGGAAACATGAATTAAAGTTTTAGTAATAAATTTTCAGGTGTATTTCCTGGGTCGCCTTCTACCCACGTAGGAAGCTCTGCCTAGTAAATGAGATAGGCATTGAATCAGTAGAGAGAAAAATGTTTATATACTTATAAATATAATAAATTCTATAAAAAGTATAGTGATGAGAGAGAGGGAAAAAAAAGGCGAGAAAGAGAAAGGAGACACAAATTATATAGTGAGGTTGAAAGATCTTCTGAGGAGGTGCCATTTGAGCTATGTCTGAATTAACCAAAAGAAGTACGGTGGGAAGAGCATTCCAGGGAGAGAGTACATCATACTCAGAGTTCCTGTGGTGGGAAAGAGTTTGGTACATTTGAGGAGCTGAAAGAAGACCCATATGGCTGGAGTGTACTAAGAGGATCTGTGGCACAAATCTAGGTTGAAGAGTCAGGGAGGGCCTGTGCTAAGAAATCTGGGTTTTGTTTTTTTTTTCTGATTTCACTGACAAACAATTGAAAGATTTTAAGCAGGGAATTGCCATAATCTGATTTACATTTTAGAAATGCATATTGGCGACACTGAGGTTTTGACCTTGAGAAACTCAGTGGTTGTTGCTATACTTATTCAGATGGGAATGATTGGGGGTGAAATATGTTGGGGGAATGGAGTTGTATTTTGGACATGTTACATTTGAGATGTATTTGTTAGGCTAATGTTAGCTGCCATAGCAACTAAACCCCAAATTTCAGTGGTTTACCGAAATAGAAGTTTGGTTTCCTGATTAGCGGCTGGCTTTTGTCAATATATTGATTCAAGGATTCAAGTTCTTTCTCCCCTGAGTTTCCCCAGGCACTGAGGGAACAAAGCCCTCTGAATCAAGCAGGTAGAAGAGGAAAGACAATATGGAGAATGCACACTTGCTTCTTATTCTTGGAGCAGAATGACACATATATATTCCATTTATATTTTGTTGGGGGAAAATCAGTCATATGGTCCCACCAAGATGCAAAAGGGTAACCATCATTTTACTCTCTACTTTTAAGAGATCAACTTTTTAATATTCTACATATGAGTAAGACAGGCAGTATTTGTCTTTCTGTGCCTGTATTAGTTCACTTTACATAATGTCTTACAAGGCAGTGAGGTAGAGGGTTAGGGGAGTTTGTGGAAATGTTGGCCAAAGAATATAAAATTCCCATTAGAGAGAAGGAATAAGTTCAAGAGATCTTATTGTGTAACATGTTGACTATAGTTAACAACAATATATTGTGTTCTTGAAAAATGCTGAAAGTGGATGTTAAATGTTCTCACCACAGAACTGATAATGGTGAGATAATGCATATAACAGTAGTGAGATTTAGTCATTCTACAATGTATATATACTTCAAAACATCACGTTGTACATGATAAATACATACAATTTTATCTGTCAAATTTAAAAATAAAATAAGATGCAAAAGAATCTGGGAAATATCATCCCCTCACAGCAAGAGTAGCCACTTTCCAGAAGAAACTCTGAACTGGGAAAGAAGCTTTCATTTTTGGTCAATGGCTATGCATTGCCACAGGCATCTATTAAATGTTCCCCTGGATACATTAAGTAAAAAGTTGACTATAGAAATGTGTATCTCAAGAGAGTGGTCTACTCTGATTATAAAAATGTAATTTTCATCTGTGTGTCTTTGTAGAAAGATTAGAAGAGATGTCTTACTAGAACCAAACCCCAGAGCACAGTGACATTGGTAGTCAGATAAGGATTATGCAATGAAAACTGAAAATGTCATCAGGGATGTAGAAGAAAACAATCAAGACTTGGTGGCATCATAGGAACTATGAGAATTTTTTCAGAAACATCTGAAATTCTCACTAGTTCAAGTTTTTATTGAATATTGAATTGATATTTTTCTGTCACAATTTGTCTAAATAGACATACTTTCTATATACTATGAAATACAGTTTTCTGACTGCTGTACAAACTACCTTTTAAATTTTTCGTTTTCTTTTTCTTTTTGTTTTTTGGGACAGACTCTCACTCTATCACCCAAGCTTCAGTGAACTGGTGCAACTTCTACTCACTGAAATCTCTGCCTCCTGGGTTCAAGCGATTCTCATGCCTTAGTCTCCCTAGTAGCTGGGATTACACATGTGCGCCACCACACCCGGCTGATTTTTGTATTTTTAGTAGAGATGGGGTTTCGCCATTTTGCCCAGGCTGGTCTGGAACTCCTGGCCTCAAGCAATCCACTCGCCTTGGCCTCCCAAGGTGCCCCCTCAAAGGTGTGAGCCACCGCGCCTGGCCATAACATTTTATCTTTTAAAAAGAGCTTTAACATTTATTGTAAAGCAATAAGCATGACCTTTTTAAATTTTAATTTTAAAATTAATAACAGTTTTTAGTATTGTAAAAAATTCTCTTGATTTTAGTTATAAATTTCTGCCCAAATTTATGAGATTTGGGGACTAACAAGTCAATTCATAAGCTAATGTAATCTGTAGTGACATAGAGAAAAATAAAAAAAAAAACTTCATTAAACCATCACTTCAATTTAATTTTGTAAAATGCCAATACTTTAATTTATTAAAATATGGATTATATTGACATAAATTTAGAGCAGAGGTTGGCAAACTCTAGCTGGTGGGTCAATTCCAGTCTGACACCTGTCTGTGTACAGCTGTCAAGATAAGAATAATATTTACATTTTAAAATAGTTTTAAAAAATCAAAGGAATAATGATATTTTTGACACACAAATATATATAAAACTCCAACTTCAGTCTTAATAAATAAAATTTTATTTGAACACAGATACTTCATCCTTTTATGTAACGTACATAGCTACTTTTATGTTACAGCAACAGAGTTAGCAACTGAGACAGAGCCCTGCAAAGTCTAAGATATTTACTATTTAGCCCTTTATGGAAAAGAAAATGCCAACCTTCATTTAGAGTATAGAAAGGAGGACAACTGGCATTTAAGATGATATTTGCAATGCACTGAAAACAGAGACAAACACAGAGCAAGCATTTAATATGTTACTTTTTCATCTTTTCCCCCATTATTTTTCAGGTTATGAAGTCAGTTCAGGAGAACTTAAAATATTCAGAGTACATTCATACTGTTAAATACAATTACTTATTAGAATAGTTTTATATATTTGAATTTATACTGGAATCACAGGTTTTTTGTTAAAGATCTTCAGTATACATTAGTTAGTTAAAGTGTTTTAAGTCAGATTGTTGTAAATGTATAAGTTAACTGTAACAGGTATTTAATAGCAATATTATATAAAGGTGGCATATTTCGTTCATTGAATTTTCTTTGCAATTTACTGTTTTTGAAAATCCAAGTGTTTGAAGTAAATAGGGAATATAAACTTTGTCTTGTATCTGTTTTTATTTAATATTTAGAACTGTGGTATGGTGATTAGTTTAGTTGAATATCTATTCAGTTAAATAAATCAAGTATAAATTCTTATGTGGTTAAATGTAATAGACCAAGTACATAAAATAATAATTATCCATATCATAAATTCAGAAACTATGTCTTTTAATTTTTTATATTCTTCGTTCAACAAAACAAAAGTGTTTCAGTTCGTATAATGCAACTGGTGGTTAGATTAAAATTTTCAAATTGAATCAAAGATCCATTTTTGACAGAACATTTGATCTGGTTTTTTCATTTAGATAGAAATTAATATGATTTCTGCCTATTTAAATTTCCTATAAATTCATGTTACTATAAAGTATAAGACCAGGGGTTTAGAAATTTGAATCTAATTATTACCTTCTAGTTAAAAATCATTGCTATCCCAGCAATCATATACATTTTTTCTCTTCCTATTTTTTCTTCCCACCTCTGCATTTCTCAATGTCTAGTATTGCTTCTATCCCTAAATACTTTGAGATAAATATTTTTTCATAGTATGAAAAGCACCATTTAAAATGCCATACAAGTATAAAAGTGTAAAGAAAATAAATCTCTGCATTTGTACATTGTAATAAAAAAGAATAAACTCTTTTCCCTCAGGTGTTGCCCAAAATATTATTTCCTTTGTAACTTTAGATCCAAATATTACATGAGAAATACTTTTATGCTGGTAGAAGAAAACATAACTAGTCAAGAAATTAAAAACTTTTTGTATATATAAGCTGTATATGTATATATATATACACATATATAGTTTCCTTTGTTAAAATTACACATATATATGTAATTTTAACTAGCTCTGCAGGTGGTAAAATACACAACATCAGTCTTCTTCACAATATTAAATATAATTTTCCTGAGTGTGGGAATGAGATTATGGGTATAGCCTTCTCCAATGCTGATGAAAACATTTGTTTGTGGGAAGAACATATATAAGAGAGGATGTGGTTGAGAGACAAACTTTTAATCATGTCTAGAGTTCTCCAGGTGAACCAAAAAGAACATTAATCTTGAATGTTGGTGTAGTCATAAGTCCTGGTTTGTCAAGCCCTAAGTCTTGTGACGAGCATTTGTTGTCACTAATGACTTCTTTCTTTTCATCTTTGCCCTTTGTAAAGGACGTGAAGAATCTCACCCTGTTTTTTTGTTTTTGTTTTTTTTAACAAGTATTGCCCATTATTTTTCTTATTGTTTTGAGGCTTGAGGTAGTTCCAACTCCACTTCTCAGATGCAGCTAAGATTTTGTGCTCACTCTTATGTTACTGGCACTGAATAAGAAGATATACTGAACATTTCTTAATTGTGAGTGAATATCTAGACAGCTTCAGGAATGTGCAAACAGATTTTACATGGCATCATAAAGGTTATCAATGTTTACTTATAACAAGATATGTATTTTTGGTTAAAGCAATTATAATTTACAATTAAAACAAAATAATAGGCAAATAGATAAAATTTATAAAAACGGAAACTGTCTGCATTGGAAAATAACAATATATTCGAAGAGGTAATTGATATCCCACCTGACAGTCAATTGACACTCTCATTCTTCTGAGAGAATGCTTTCTGTCTCCCCAGGATTATCTTGCTCATGAACATTACTGTTAGGACCAACTAGGTCAAATCCGTTCTTTCTCTTATAAAAGCACCTTCTTGGCAAAAAAAAAAAACCAAACAAACAAAAAACCCACACAACAACAACAAAAATCCACCTCTCTCTGTGCAGATAAACTTCTTTTCTGCTTCCTTAAAGTGTCAGCATAATACCCTTTCTTTCCTAGTAGACCTTTTTTTCTACTTGTCTAGCTCTTGCATTTCACAAAGTAGCCTCATGTTCCTAAGGCTAGGGTATCATTTTTGCCTATAAAGTGCACAAAATTAATATAACTTAAAAGAAACTAGATCTTTACAAAAATGGATATGTACTTACTGAATAGAAAATAATTTGAGCTGATCCTCAAAGGAAGAAAATACCGCTGGGGCATTTAAATTAATTAAGAAAATTTTGAAATAGAATTTAAAGTCTAAGGATTGATTTTATTGATCTTGGAAATGAAGGGTACCCTTCAGTAATCATATTTCTAAAATAAATGATTATTTTGATAGATTAGATAACAATGTCAATCAATCATAGACAGGTAAATGGCTTTCCTCTCCCCCCAATAAACTGCCCAAGTATTTGATTACACTTTATTTTAAAAATGAATTTTTCATAGTTTTCTTTTTTTGTGTTATTGATAGTAATGATCTTTTTGAAAATGGACTCAACATTAATTTTTTATTTTGCATTTATAATTTAAGACAACTTTTCTTTTTAGTTGCCTAATTTTTATATCTGAGATTTAAAGTCACATATTAACCAGAAATAGCAAAGTATGAAATAGAATGTAAAAGAAATTTCGTAATAGGTTCTCACTTTCTGGAGGGTCGGGTGATGATATTTATTTCTTTTGTAGCTTCTATCACAAAACTGAATATTTACAGCTTAAATTTCTATAATACTTCAAAAGCAGATTTCCATACAAATTCTTTAAAGTGCATTATTATTGGATCCAATTTATAGATGAGGAAACAAGATTCAGGGAGTATAGAAGATACTGTCAGTGCTCCAGCCATACTCTTTCTGCATTTATCATTTCTGTGCATGCTGGCTTGCTTTCAAACTGCCAGTAAATGTGACCTTTTGCTTTTCCAGTGCCACAATCAGAGGGCCCACAAAGTGTTTGATTTATCCTAATGGAATTCCACAAGATATTGCTTCACTAAGGGATGTACTTACAAGAATGGAGGTTCAACAGCAGACAAATGACCTCAGGGCCATTAGCTCTACCTTTACATGCATGACCCAGAAGCTGCTGGCTTGATGAAGTGCTACCTATTTCTTTTGTGTGTGTTTTATTTATATATCCCAGTTGTGCATATTTTTGGGGTACTTGTGATATTTTTACTCATGTATACAATATGTAATGTCAAATCAGGGTAATTGGGATATCCATCACCTCAAACATTCATTTTTTTAAAGGTATGTTGGGGACATTACAATTCTTTTCTTGCTGTTTTGAAATCTACAATAAATTATTGTTGACTAAAATTTCCCTAATGTAGTATCAAGTACTAGAACTTATTCCTTCTATCTAACCATTTTTGTACTGAGTAACCAGCTCCTAATTCCTCCCTCCCCCTCCTGCTTCCCTTCCCATCCTATGGTAACCAGCATTCTACTCTCTACCTCTAGGAGAACCATTTTTTTTTAGCTCCCACATATGAGTGAGAATATGTAATATCTGTCTTTCTGTGCCTGATTTATGTCACTTAACATAATGACCTAAATTCCATCCATGTGGCTCCAAAGGACAGGATTTCATACTTTTTTTATGGCCAAATAGTATTCCATTGTATATATGCCACATTTTCTTTATCCATTTATCCATTGATAGGTCCTTAGATTGGTCCCATATCTTGTCTATTGTGAATAGTGCTGGAATATACATTGGAGTAGAGATATCTCTTCCGTATATTGATTTCCTTTATGTTTTTGGATGTATACCCAGCAATGGGATTGTTGGATCATGTGTTAGTCCTATTTTTAGTTTTTTGAGGAGCCTCCATACCTTTTTCAGTAACAGCTGTACTACTTACATTCCCACCAACAGTGTATGAGTGTTGGTGGGAATATAACTGCATCTTTGTCAACATTTGTTATTCTTTGTGTTTTTGATAAAAGCCAGTTTAACTGGGGTGAAATGATATGTCATTGTGGTTTTGATCTGCATATCTTTGATGATTAGTGCTGTTGAGCATTTTTCTTTTCTTTTTTCTTTTTTGAGATGGAGTTTTGCCCTTGTTGCCTAGGCTAGAGTGCAATGGCATGATCTCGGCTCATTGCAACCTCCACCCCACAGGTTCAAGTGATTTTCCTGCCTCAGGCTCCCAAGTAGCTGGGATTACAGGCGCCCTTCACCATACCTGGCTAATTTTTTGTGTTTTTAGAAGAGATGGGGTTTCACCATGTTGGCCAGGCTGGTCTCGAACTCCAGACCTTAGGTGATCCACCCACCTTGGCCTCCCAAGTTCTGGGATTACAGGCATGAGCCACCATGCCTGGCTGAGCATTTTTCATATATCAGCCATTTGTATGTCTTGTTCTTCTTTTTTTTAAATTTTTTTTTTTTGAGATGGAGTCTCACTGTGTCACCCAGGCTGGAGTGCAGTGACACCATCTCGGCTCACTGCAACCTCAGCATCCCAGGTTCAAGCAATTCTCATGCCTCAGTCTCCCAAGTAGCTGGGACTACAGGTGCCCACCAGCATGCCCAGCTAATTTTATTTTTTATTTTTAGTAGAGACAGGGTTTCACCATTTTGGCCAGGCTGCTCTTGAACTCTCTACCTCAGGTGATCTGCCCACCTCAGCCTCCCAAAGTGCTGGGATTACAGGCATGAGCCACCACGCCCAGCCCGTATGTCTCCTTTTAGTAATGTCAATTGAGATATTTTTGCCCATGTTTTAATCAGATTATTTATTTGCTATTGAGATGTTTGAGTGCCTTATGTATTCTGGTTATTAATCCTTTGTCAGATGGATAGTTTAAAAATATTTTCTTCCATTCTGTGGATTGTCTCTTCACTTCGTTGTTTGTTTCCTTTGCTGTGCAGAAGCTGTTTAGCTTAATGCAATCCCATTTATCTATTTTCACTTTTGTTGCCTATGCTTTTGAGGTCTTACCCAAAAAATATTTGCCCAGAGCAATGTCCAGTAGCAATTTCTTAACATTTTCTTTCGATAGTTTCATAGTTTCAGGTCTTACATTTAAGTCTTTAACCCATTTTTGCATTGATTTTTATATATGGTAATAGATGGGGATGCTAAAAAGCCAGCTTCTAGCTCTAGGGGAAGGGGCCTCTGCTTTCAAAAGATGTTATATTCTTTAAATTGATTGCCATTATTATGATGCAGTGTCTCCTGATAGAAAAGGAACCAAAGAGTGGAAGTTGGCATGGCTCATCTCACTATCAGTCTAATTGACAAATTTGTGATTACTGTTCCCACAACTTTAAACCATGGATTAGAGGTCTTGGTTACTAAGAACAAAAAGTAAGGCTTCTACCAATGGACATGGTAAATGTTCCACTAAGCTTTGGCTATGGCTACCACCTGATCATTTTGTGCTTCTCACAATAGTGGCCAAGCAAGCAAAGAAAGAAGTTACCACATTGGCAGGATAATTGACCCTGGTTGTCAAGAGGAGCTAGGATTTCTGTTACAAATGAGGGCAAGAAAGAGTATGGATAGAGCTTAGAGTATTCAGTGAGATGCTTTTAGTTCTCCCATGCCTGATTGTAGCAGGGCGAGCCACAGACAAAACTCCTCAGACACCGAGTTAAAAAAGGAAGAGGCTTTCTTTGGCCAGGAGTGTCAGCAGACTTGTGTCTCAAGAACTGAGGTCTCCAAAGAAAGAATTCCTGTCCCTTTTAAGGGCTTATGACTCTAAGGGATCCACGTGAAAGGGTTGTGACAGATTGAGATCTATAGATAGCACATGTGGTTAGAGTCGGGGGTTAATCTTTTAACCTCAGGCCTGGTTGGTGGTGCCGGTTGGTCATTTCAGGAATGAAAACAACTTCATTCCTGTTGTTTTTCAGCTTTTAATTCCTCCTTCTCTTCAGAGACAGGAGACAGTAAGAGAAATGGCCTCGCTCCTCATTCCCCTCTTTGAGAATCTCACTCGCTAGTGCTAGTTCTCACTCTCATCTTCACTACACAGTCCTAATTCATGACAAACATACTTATTTTATGCTATATAGCCCTTTCCCAATCTAGAGAGCTGCATCTTATTTATTTCCATACAGGTCACTGTTGATTGCTGCACAGGCATCAAATTTTAAGATAATTTGTTTGGGGACTCCTTTTTCTTCTGTTCTAGTTATTACTTTACTCACATCAGCATTTCCCCGGTTGCCAGTCCTCAATCTTATTTCAAAAACTGTACTCATGGGGGCTCAGATGGGTTATAGCACACATCAGGCTGGTCGCTTCCTGGCCTGCATACCTTATACTGGGTGGCATTATACAAACAAGTCCCTTTTAGAGTTCTAGTATGTTCATAATAACTATAAAACAGAAAGACTGTTTTAACTTTTTGCCCTACCTCAGTAACTTGATGTATACACTGGGAATAGTCCTCAGTCTGAGGAAGGTCAGTTGAAGTCCTTACTGTACAAATCCAAAATTTAAGGAAAATAAGTCCCACGATGAGTTTCCTCATGCTTTGGCTGTGTGTGGACCAGTCAGCTTCTGGGTGTGACGAGAGTAGGGCTTGTCGTCTTCTTCAAAGTCACTTTGCAGGGGTTGTCCAGGCTTGGTCTCACCTCCCAGGTCTCAGGTGCTGCAGGTTTTATGCGGCTGTGGTGGATCCAGGCTGGGATTCCCTCTACCTTTACAGCTGTGGGAGTGGTCAAGACAACAGTCTGGGGTCCTTTCCACCACGGCCGCAAGGGGGCTACGTTCCAATCTTTGATCCACACCCGTTCACCTGGGGAGAAAGGGTGAACTGGGGAGAATAAGCTGATGGGACACCTCTCATTTACCCAGGCTGAAATTGTTTGTGTAATTTTCCCTAAAGCCTGTATCTGTCGCTGTAACTCAATTTCACCTAGCTCTTGAGAAGTGCCTGGGAGTCCTCGTGGTATGGGAGGGGGCCTATGATATAATATTTCATAAAGGGAATATCCTGTCCTTTTAGAAGGGGTACATCTAATCTTAATACCATAGGGAGAGCTTGTACCCACTTTAATCCTGTTTCTTGACACACTTTCCCTAAACTATTTTTGATAGTCCGATTCATCCACTCTTCTTTTCCAGAACTCTGTGGTCAGTAAGCGGTATTTATTTTCCATGTGAGCCCCAATACCTTTGCTGTCTTCTGTACCAAATCAGCCACAAATGCCAGCCTGTCATCTGAGCCGATTTGTAAGATCAGTCCAAACCTAGGGATGAGATCTCGGAGAAGCACACGGGTTACTTCATGAGCTTTCTCAGTTCGTAAAGGATAGGCCTTCACCTACCCAGATTATGTACACACTAGAACTGGCAAATACTTGTTAACTCCATATTTGGGCATCTCAGTGAAGTCTACTTGGAGATCTTCAAAGGGGGCTGCCCCATAAGCTTGTATGCCGGGCAAGACGGTTGGACCTTACCTAGTATTGTGCTGCCAGCAGGTGACACACTGCTGCGCCACTGTTTCGGCAAGGGCTGACAGATGCGAGATGTAGAAGTACTGGTTTAACAACTTTTCAAATGACTCTTGGCCTAGATAGGTGGTCTCATGCACAGCCAATACGACTGCGGTGCCCAGCAGTTGTGACACGGCTATTCTTCCATCTGATAACCGGATCCATCCCTCTTCTATCACCTGGCCCTCCCTCTGCCTGGAGAAAGTCCTTCTCTTCTTTAGAATAAGTAGGTACAAGGTCAGGTGCCTGAGGGAGCAGGGGTCAGTGACTGATGCCCGGTAGGGGGTGGATGCTGCTTTTGAGCCTCTGAGTCAGCTCGGGAGTTCCCCAAGGCAATCGAGGTGGAAGCTCGCTGGTGTTCTCTGCAGTGCGTGACTGCCACCTTTTGGGGGCTTCCACACTGCCTCTAACAATTGCAGGATCTCTCAATGATGTTTTATCTCTTTTCCCCCAGAGTTCAACAGGCCTTTTTCTTTATATAACACCCCATGCACTTGGAGGGTTAAGAAGGCATACCAAGAGTCAGGGTAAATGTTTACAGTCTTACCTTCATTTAGCTCTAAGGCCCAAATTAAAGCAATGAGTTCAGCCTTCTGGGCTGAAGTACCCTGGGGCAATGATTTGACTTCAGTGACAGTGTCCAGGGTTACCACTGCATATCCTGCACACGTCTCTTCTTGTGGGTTGACCAAGCTGCTCCTGTCCACGTACAGCTCCCAGTCTACTGATGTCCAAGGATGGTCTCAGAGGTTGGGCCTGCTAGAATAAACTGAGTCCAACACCTCTACACAGTTATGTTCAACTGGGCTCTCTAATACCGCGAGTAAGGTGGCAGGGTTCAAGGTGTTGCAAACATCAATGGTTATGCAGGGATTTTCACAGAGCAAGCTTTGGTACCTAGTTAGTCTAGCATTCGTTAGCCAATGATGTCCTTTGGTATTCATTAAAGTCACCACAGCATGGGGGGCCTTTATGTTCAGATTTTGCCCAAGAGTCAGCTTATCTGCTTCTTATGCTAACAGGGCAGTTTCTGCCAAGGCCCTCAAATATGGGGGCCAACCTTTAGAAACCCCATCTAGTTGTTTAGAGAGGTAGGCCACCGACCTTGACCAGGGCCCCGTGTTCTGGGTCAAAACTCCAACTGCCATCTTTTCTCTCTCTGACACATATAGTGTAAATGGCTTTGTCAGGTCAGGCAGCCCCAGGGCTGGGGCCGACATGAGTTTCTCTTTTAACTCATGAAAAGCTCATTGCTGTTGGGACCCCCATTCCAAATGTTCCTTGTCACCCCCCTTTGTGACTCCATACAGGGGCTTGGCTAGTACTGCAAAGTTTAGGATCCATAACCTGCAGAACCCCACAGCTCCTAAGAATTCTCTCACCTGCCTTTTGGTCTTAGGCTCTGATAGGTTGCAAATGACCTGCTTTCTTTCTGATCCCAAGTTGTGCTCCGCCTGTTGGATAGTAAATCCCAGGTAACATACTTGCTGTCTGCAGATCTGAGCTTTCTTCTTGGACACCTTTTACCAACATTCCTCCAGGTGGTGGAGCAGGGTATCCGTTCCCTTGGTGCACCCGACTGCTGTGGGGTGTCCCAGCAGGAGGTTGTCAATGTACTGGAGCAACATGCAACCTAGGTCTCTGGTGGGAAACTTTTGGAGGTCTCGAGCCAGTGCTTCCCTGAAGATAGTGGGGGGAGTTCTTGAACCCTTGGGAAAGCTGGGTCCAAGTGTACTGAGTAGTGACATCTGACCCCGGATCCTCCCACTGAAAGGCAAACAGTTTCTGGCTCTCAGGGGCTAGTGTGATGCTAAAGAAAGCATCCCTGAAGGATGAACCAGGTGAACCAGTCAGGTGAACCAGCTATCCTCAGCTGTAGCTTGGTTGAACAAGCGCAAATCCTGTACTGGCCTGTAGTCCTTGGCTTGGGAACAGGCAGGAGGGGAGTGTTCCATGGAGACTGACAAGGGACTATAATTCCAAAGGACCTCAGCTGCTTGAGATGGACCTGGATACCTTCAAGAGTTTCTCTGGGGACCAGGCACTGTTTTTGTCTGTCTGGCTGGGCCCCAGGCTTAACTTCTATGAGTGCGGGGGCCTGGTAGATTGCCAACCCTGGAGGATTGTCTTCTGCCCACACCTTTGGCCACCGCTTAGTCAGAGCTGATCCTATCTCTTGGCCTGGCCCAGTTAAGAAGAGTCCCCATTCCTCCTCCTGAGGAACCATAAGGGCCATGATGACTCCCGTTCCAAGTAGCTTTAGCTGTAAAGAGCTGTGCTTTGTAAAAGAGATGGTGGCTGTCAGCTTGCTAAGTAGGTCCCTTCCTAGCAAAGGCAAGGGGCAGTCAGGCATGTACAGGAACTGGTGAATCACTTCATGTCCCCCCACAGTGCAGGTCCAGGGCAAACAGAAAGCTTGCTTTGCTGAAACCCCTGTGGCTCTGATTATATCTATTGTCTTTTTGGATAAGGGGGTGACTGGGGTGGTTACTACTGAATGTTCAGCACCAGTATTGACAAGAAACTCAATGTCCTTGCCCCCAACTGTCATCCTGACCATGGGCTCTTGGGGACACATGAGCCTGGTCTCCCTCAGTCCAGTAACCCTTCTGCCAGATTGAACAAGGCCCCTTCGTCCTTCTCTGAGGCCTCCTGCTCAGAGTTGCCTTGTTTCCCTTTCAACTGGGGGCACTTGTCCTTCCAATGTCCTATTTCCTTACAGTAAGCACACTGCTTACACTGCAAGCGTGGACAGCCAGACTGGGTATGTTTCCTGGGGCCCCCCTTCTCTCACCCCTCAGGGGGACCGCTCTCATAGCTGCAGCTAGCAGGTCGGCATTTCACCAGGCTTGGCATTCACTCTCTCTGCAATTCTCTCTGTGGCTTACTGCATCTCTATTCACAAACACCTTGTTGGCTATCTCCAATAACTGTGAAGTATTCATGCCTGCAAACCCAGCCTGTTTCTGCAATTTTCTTCTAATGTCTTCTGCACTTTGACTAACTAAAGCCATGTTAATCATGTGCTGATTTTCAGGGCTATCAGGATCAAAGGTAGTATACATACGATAGGCCTCACATAGTCTCTCGTAGAATTGTGCTGGGCTCTCATCTTTCCCTTGAATGACCTCAGAGACTTTGTTAACATTTGTGGACTTCTGAGCTCCCTTCTTTAACCCTTCCAGAAGGGCTTCCCTGTACCGGTTTAGCCTTTGCATACCCTGTCTTCATTTGGGTCCCACAGGGAGTCTGTTCCTGGTAATTGTATCCTCACATACTCTTGTGGGTTTTGGTAATCAGCTGGAACATTTTCTTCCAAGTTGCTGCTTGGAGCACTCTCCTCCTTTCATCTGTGTTAAAGAGGTACATGAACAACTGGTGGCAATCAGTCCAGTTGGGGTTATGGGTCTGGATAATAGTTTGGAGCAAATCAATTATAGCTTGAGGCTTTTTGGTATAGGATGGGGTATTGTTTTTCCAAATGAGGAGATTGGCAGAGGTGACGGGTTGGTACACAAAGGCACACCTTTCTACCATGTGCCCGTCCTCATCTATCCCAGTATACCATTGCTCTCTTAAGGGCATTTGTATCCCAGTTCTAGGCCTCAAACAGGCTGCCAAGGGAAGGGTTTCTCCCAAGGTCTCAGATCCTTCCTTTTCTACTCTGGGTGGCCTAGGGGTATGTAGGCCTTGTGGAAGCTCGGGCGCAGTGGGCTCAGGAGTGGGAGGCCTTCCTCCCTGGTGAAAGGGTGGGGGGCACTGGTGCCATTTCTTGCCATGAATCCTGTGATGTTGGGTCTGACAGGACTTTAGGAGCCAATCCCCCTCGGCAGGTGGAGCGGGATTCTTCCTTGGCTGTCTGTCCCTTTGCCACTAGTACTACTGCTGCCTGTCCTATTAACTACTGTGGGGGGTCTAAAACCATCTGAAACCAAGTGTCTATGTATGGAAACTGGTCTGGGTGTCCTGGCTCACCAGTTACCTTGTGCCATACCTTTGAAACAATGGACCTTTCTAGGCTTCCTACTGATGGCCAACCCACTTCTAATGTTGGCCAGTCTATCCCACACAAAGTTCTAAGTTTACTTGGTGTCATAGTAACTCCATAGTCTCCATTAAATCCTTTCTTGAATTTTTTCAACATAGTTCCTAGCAGAGTTGGCTTACTTTGTGTTCCACCCATCTTCCTCCCAAGACAAAACAAAACTCACACCACAAGAAGGAAAGGGTAAAGGGGTCACTCACTCACCTTGCCCCTCTCAAACTCAAGCACTCACTTTCACTTTTCTTTTTGCAAACAAGTCAAGCCAAATCAAAATCAATACTGAGACCAAAGTGCCAATAAGGGCACACTGTGGATGATCAGGCCATGCTTCCACTCAAATGGAGTGGGCAAGTTCCAAAGACCGGTCCTACAGTACCAGATGTCCAGATTCCAAGCGCCAGTTCCTTCCCGGTGTTCAGCTGCTGTGTTGATCCTCTGTGGGGGCCTGCCATGCACAGCTCTGATGAGGCGTTCTACCAGGGCAAATGCCTACCTGGGAGTCAGGCTCTGTGTCGTTCAAGCTGGCCAGATGCTCCACAGGGCAGGGCTAAGCCGCCTAAGGGGCTGCCTTAACCGTCTGTTAATCACCTCAATTCCCAGTCAGGGAACCAAGAAATGGAGCATGATGAGCCACAGACAAAACCCCTCAGACACCGGGTTAAAGAAGGAAGAGGCTTTATTTGGCTGGTAGCGTCGTCAGACTTGCGTCTCAAGAACTTAGCTATCCGAAGAAAGAGTTCCTGGCCCTTTTAAGGGCTTACAACACTAAAGGGTCCACGTGAAAGGGTTGTGATAGATTGAGATCTATAGATAGCACATGAGGTTAGAGTTGGGGTGGGGTTAATCTTTTAACCTCATGCCTGGTCAGTGGCGTTGGTGGGTCTTGCCGCTGACTTCATTCCTGTTGTTTTTCAGCTTTTAATTCCTCCTTCTCTTCAGTGACAGGAGACAGTAAGAGAAATGGCCTTTCTCCTCATGACGATAACTGAATGGGCACTGCAGCAGCCACATCTGACAAGAGTACAGTAACTAGGCGCTCAGACCCTTCAAGGATGAGAGTCTGAGTCACCCTACCAGGATAGCAACCTAGAGAAGCTGAATCACTAGTTGAGGATTCTTTTGCAAAAAAGCTAGCACGGGGATGATAAAAGGAGACAGTGCATACCAGTTATGGCTTCAGGATCAACTGAAACTGTAAGTGCTGTAGTTTATTCCACCAATATTCCTAATATAATTTTACAAAAGAAATTGTGAATCAGTGATGGGATTGAATGACCTTCATACAAGTTATGAGTAAATCTGAGTTGCGCAAGGGGAGGAAGTAGCAAGACATGCAAGTGCCCTACCTGTGGAATCGGTGTATTTACTATTTTCCTGTATCTTGACACCTCTTCCGACTGATAGGACTTGTGACTCTGAGTGCTCACTCTGATCAACAGATCCTTCTCTGTCTGTTCTAAAGGCAGGCTAGAATTAATCTCCACCCTCCACCATGCACACACACACAAACACACACACAGACACACACACACACACATGCTCTCAACCAACACTTGATAGGGGTTGCTATGTAAATACATAGCTTCCTCATCTTGGAGTGGAATAACTTGGTGACGTATCTTCTATACCATATCCCAAGTTCTCTAGCAAAATCAATCTCCAGTTGCCCATGGTGATAATTCATAATACATTTATTATTAACTTTTTTCCTTTTTCTGTTCCATTTTTCTATTGAAATACTGGTGTTCTTGGAATCACCTTCCAAGTCAACTACTTATACTGAAATATTTGAATTAGAATTTGTTTCTGGGGAACCCACACTAAGACAGCAAGTGACTTGTTAAATGCCAGTGGCAGTGAAGATATTTAATTCCAGGTTTTCTAAGTCTTATACCAGTTTTCTTTTTACTATTGCATTCTGGAAGTGTTCTGTATATACTAGACTTAAGATTGATATTAACTCTAGACATTTATGTACACATCAGAAAGGTAGAAATAGAGTCAGAAAATATTCCTTCCAGCTCTTTTTTATGCATATGTGGATTTGAACTTTTTCAAAAGAAAGTATAAGTATTTACCATATTCATATATGCTTTCTCACTCTTTTGCTCCCTTCAAAGGAGGGAGGATTCCATCCTTCATGGATAGGTCAGTTCATAGGCCTTCTTTTTTTGTTTGTTTACAGTTTGGGTGATGTGCTGATTCTTGTGAGGGCAATATATTACACTACACCTCTTTCTTCTGCACAGTGAGGTGTCTCAAGAATAGAGAATTTGGGCTTCCAAGTGGGGCATGGTGTGGATGGAGTGATGGCATAAGCATGCAGGAAGGAAAATAGAAAACCACTGTGTAGCAAAGGTTGGTGCACTGATGAACTAAAGAAGGAGTGCCTTTAGCCACTGACATGACAGAGAGAACATATGGCAAGTGAGAAGAGCCATGTGGGTTGAGTTTTTGTAAGTATCTCCATCTGTTTGGAGAATATGAGTGGCAGTGATAGCTAAAAAGGATTTTAAAGATATTTTACTATGTCTTGTGGGGTTTCTAAAGAGATGAGTGAAGATTTGAAGTAAATTGTATTTAATTTTGTTTTACTGTTTCTTTGATTGTACTGCCATGCCTGGCTGGATCACAGCAGACCCCTATAATTTTCAGGTTAGAAGTCATTACATATGCTAGAGCCATTATAAGTTGAAATACAGTTACTGCTAAATTTAGCTTGTAGATCTTCTTTTACCTGCATTAGAGGCTTGTATTTCTGATGAGGCAGCATGACGGCTCCTGGGATAAGAAGTAAAAGAAGAACAAAGAATGAGGACAGCAACACAGATTTAATTTAGAGATGAAATCCAGAGAAAAGAGCCAGAACTCCTAAAACAATTTTTAGTGCTTCAATCTTTCAATCGAAGGCAAATGACTCAGGTAGGTCAGGCGTTGGAGGAGTCAAGGGAAAGCAACAGAATAGTATGTGCTCAGGCTATTGTGATCCTTGTGGAGAAGGAAAGACTCTTTCTGGGAGAGCCACAGTGGGCGAAGTTTACCTGAGATGACCTCTCAGTGGTATTCCTGAGCTCAGACCAAGCCCACTGTCCATGTCTAGGCCAAATGCAAATGTGGACTTTGAAAAAGAGGGACCATACTAAGAAGCTGAGTTAGTGTGGAAAAGAGAAACAGAAGAAGAAGGAAAAGTAAAGCAAACTAATCCTGTTGGTTTAGATATTTTGTGTTTTTTAAGGATTAACTTAGGGAGGAGCTTAAAAGTAGCCATGAAAGAACTTGTTTAGTCTCTAAAAGAATAGGAGGGCTGCTGGTGATGCCTTCAAGGGGAGAATCACAGTGAAGATTTGTCACAGGAGGCTGAAAAGAGTTGTTCAGCCAGGGAACACAGATTAGAAACTCAGCTGGATTGAACACAAGATACAGGTTTGAGATAATTAAATTCCTTGTTAATAATAAATTTGCTGTAAGCTTCATATTGGGCAAAAAGAAATAGACTCAACTTTGAAGAATACATAATATGAAAAAGGAGGCCAAGACTCTTGAGATTATTTTAGTAATTCTTCTGAATATGCCAAAACTAAAGAATATCAGGAAAAAAGCAAAGGTCAGAAAAGGAGTGGCTAACAGATATTGTGACTTTGATAGTGGTAAAAATAAAGACGCTATAGCAGAAGTGGAAATATAAGATAGGAGAAAAACTTAATTGGGAAACAAAGTGAGACAGAATGACAGTAGGACAAGAAGGATTTCAAAGGAGATCTTGAGAGAATAACTAAGGCAAATATGTTTAACAAAACTGCAGCAGAAAATACTATGGAGTAGGACAGCATCGAATTCTGATTGGCAGGAGATACTTGAAGAGATATCTGAGGAAACTAGAGTCCTCTTGGAAGCTGGAGGGCAAGATAAAAAGTTATTGGTTAGTAAAATCTGGGAAGAGAAAGATGGTAAAGGGAGAAAGCAAAGTAAGATTTTAGTCCTCTTAAAATATTGGAGAAGAGCCACAGCAGAAACACTTTGGAGAGTCTCCCCTAGAGAGCAGGGAAAGCCAACTGCTGAAGTCCATAATCTACATACATGAACAGAAGATACCCAGAGGGTGGCATTATTTCCAGCATATCAGTGTGTGGTCTGTACTATATTAGCCTCCAGGAAGGTTGTGTAGGGCTTATGGGATTTAAGCAAAATAAACAAAAATTTACAAGCCTGCTCAGCAAGTGAGGTGACAATAGGAGAATCAGAAGATTAACATAAGGGGAAAGATATATTTGCTAGATCCTACACCAAAAAATTATGTGTTAGCAATTTGTTCCTTTAAAACATGAAGAGATTACATAGTAATGTCCCCAAATACGGTTTCTTGGGCTGTCTAAGAGTTAGGGGCATGGGGATACAAGAGGAAGAAGAGGAAGAAGTAAATGAGATATATTAAGTTCTAACTTCAAATATAAAGAGATATTTTCTATCAAAAGCATATTTTAAATTTTATTTATTGCTATATGCATATTGTAAACTTAAAAATTCTGATTATTCTTAAAAGTTGCAGATTTAAATTAGAAAGACAGAGTTATGCATTTTGAAGGCACTTTGGATTAACACATGTTCAAATAATAGACATGTTATTAACACGTGTTCAAATATCTTTATATTATACTCCTTTCTTGGAAAGCCCTAAGGATTGACTACTGGAGCCATGTATTCTTTATATTTATGGCAACATCTGAGGTAGAGATAAATGGATATTATGAGATGCATTTCATAGATAGAAATAATAGGCAGGGCCTACCTAAATTAAATTTAAGGGGATAAAAAGAAAAGAGAAGAGCCAGTGGTAAGGCTATGATTTTAGTTTAGTCTAACAGGAAAGATGGTGGTACCATTTAATGAGATGGGAAGATTTTAAAAGGAACTGAGGGGTTTATATTAAGAGGGTGATTAGAACGTGTCAAATATGAGATGCCTATTGGAGATCTAGGTAGAGACGTAAAGCAGAAACTGGATATACAGGAGTGGAGCTTGGTGCCAGGGATAAGATTTTGGAAGTCAGTTCAAAAGCAGCAATTCTATCTATGAAACTGGAAGAGATTACACACAGAGAGATTACTTACAGAAAGATGAAAGCAAACATCTCAGAACAGAGCTCCTAGGCTCCCCGATATTGTTATCAACTGAATGTACCCCCCCTCCCCACCAAATTCATATGTTCAAATCTTAACTCTGAATGTGATGGGATTAGAAGGTGGGACCATTGGGAGGTATTTAGGTCATGAAGGTGGATCTCTCATGAATGGGATTAGTGCCTTTACCAAAGGGACCCCAGAGAATCTCTTACCTTCTTTCCACCATATGAGGACATAAGGAGAAGACAGAATAGGGTCCTCACCAGAACCTGACCATGTTGATATCCTAATCTCAGACTCTAGCCTCCAGAACTTTGAGAAATAAATTTGTTGTATGTAAATCACCCTGTCTGTGGCATTCTGTTTTAGCAGTCCAAACTAGGAAAAATCTTAATAAGTCAGAGAGGAGGATAGTCTAGCAAAGGAGATGGAGGATAGAAGAAAAGGAAAATCAGGGCTATGTGACACCATGGAAGTGAAGGGAAAAATACTCCAGAAAAAGTGAGTTCTCTGTTAATGCTTCTTAGAGGCCAAAGCAGAGAAAACCAGTGAAGTAGATATGGACTTAACAAAATGATAGTTTTTGATTGTTATAGATAGAGGCATTTTGATTCAAAAGTGAAGGAAGCCTGAGTGTGAATGGAAAGTAAGGAAGTGAAGAACATGAGAACATTTATTTTTACTTTTATTGTTTCAGTTTTCCTGTGAAGGGCATGAGAGATGAAATAGTAACTGAGGGATTTGGAACCGAGGAAGGTTTATATTTTAAAGAGAGTAGATCTTAGAACCTGTCATTAGCAGATAGTAATGGCATGGTAGAGAATAAGGAATAAATAATGCAGGAGAGACAGGAATGACCGTGGAATAAAAGCCCCAGAGAAGGTGAGTGGAAACAGGATCACGAGCACAAGTGAAAAGTTGGCAGGACATACTTTCCAGTAATGCAAAAGGGAAAGCAGAGAATGAGGGTTAGGATACAGTGAAGTCCACGAATTTGGTGGTTGGCAGACAAAGGAATTCCTATCTGGACAAAGAAGGAGGAAGCTGTGTGTGACAAATCTATTTGTTCAGGACCAGAGCAAATACTATTCTTTTGATGACACTAGCTAAGGGATATATCAGTTTCTCACTGATGAAGAGGTAAACTAGAGCTGCCATTCACACCATATAATAAAACTTAGGTAGTTTTCTTTACGTACAGTTGATTCAGTCATTGCTAGCCAATCCTTATTATTGCCAGAAAATCTACCAAGGAAGAATTCCTCCAGGAGTTATTAAAAATAGATCTAAGGATTTGAAGGACCCCATCTTTCTACCAGGTCGCAGTTATGGTGCCCTTCATGGAAGGCCAAGGAATCTGGCTTGCCTCAAGAAGCTCTTGCATTTGAAATAATAATAAGCCAGGTGTAGTGGCTCACGCCTGTAATCCCAGCACTTTGGGAGGCCAAGGTGTGTGGATCACTTGAGGTCAGAAGTTCGAGACCAGCCTGATCAACATGGTGAAACCCCATCTCTACTAAAACTACAAAATTAGCCGAGTGTGGTGGCACATGCCTGTAATCCAGCTACTTGGGAGGTTGAGGAGGAGAATGACTTGAACCTGGGAGGCGAAGGTTGCAGTGAGTGGAGATCATGCCATTGCACTCCAGCCTGGGCAACAAGAGTGAAACTCCGTCTTTAATAATAATGATAATAATAATAATAATAATAATAATAATGAGGAGGAGGAAAACAGCTGGACAATTACTGAAGACCTACTGTATGCCTATGCTGTATTGAGTGCTATGCATTAATTACCTGTGCAGTCCTCATAACAGAGCTCTGAGGTAGAGATATTACCTTCTTTTCACATTTGAGGAAATGCAGGTTTAGAGAGGGAAGTGACTTGTCCACAAGTATAGTCATGTGCCTCATAACAACAGTTTGGTCAATGACCTACCACATATATAATAGTGGTACCATAAGATTATAATGTATCTGAACAATTACCTTTAGCCATTGTAACAATACAGCGCAACACTTACTAATGTGTTCATGGTGATGCTGGTAAGCAATCCTACTGCACTGCCAGTGCTATAAAAGTCTAGCACATAAAATTATGTATAGTACATACTTCTTGATAATAATGATAAGTGACTATGTTATTGGCGTATGTGTTTACTATACTGTGCTTTTTATCCTTGTTTTAGAGTGTACTCCTTCTACTTACAGATAAAGTTAAGTGTAAAACAGCCTGAGGCAGGTCCTTCAAGAGGTATTCTAGGAGAAGGCAGTATTATCATAGGAGATGGCAGCTCTATATATGTTACTACCCCTGATGATCTTGAAGTGGGACAACACATAGAGGTGAAAAACAGTGATATTGATTATCCTGACCCAGTATATGTCCAGATGAATGTGTGTGTTGCATCTTAGTTTTTAATAAAACAGTTTAAAAAGTTAAAAAACAAAAAGTAGAAAAGAGCTTATGGAATAAGAATATAAAGAAAATATTTTTGTATCTCTGTACAATGTGTTTGTATTATAAGATATAAGGTATTTATATACAATGTATGTAAGGTATTTACAAGACCCAAAAAGTTTTAAAAATTAAAAAGACAAATTTAAGCTAAGGTTAATTTATTATTGAAGAAAAAAGTTATTATAAATTTAGTGTAGCTTAAGTGTCCAGTGTTTGTAAAGTTTACAGTAGTGTGTGGTAATGTCCTAGGCCTTCACATTCACTCACCAATTACTCACTGATTCATCCAAAGCAACTTTCACTCCTTTAAGCTTCACTCATGGTAAGCACTCTATACAGGTGTACTGCATTTTATCTTTTATACCACATTTTTACTCTACCTTTCTGTGTTTAGATACACAAATGCTTATTATAATTGTGTTCCAATTACCTACAGTATTCAGTACAGTCACATGATATACAGGATTGCAGTATAGGAGCACACCATATAGCTTAGGTGTGTAGTAGGTGATACCATCTAGGTCACTGTAAGTACACTCTATGATGTTTGCACAATGACAGAATCACATCACGGCAAATTTTTCTCAGGACATAATTACATCATTAAGTGATACATGACTGTATATAGTTGGAGTTTGAACTTAGACCACTATGATTCCAAAGGCAGCAGTGTGTGTGTGTGTGTGTGTGTGTGTGTGTGTGTGTATTCACATGTACATATGCTCATGAACTGTTGCATAGTTTACCAAATGTTGCCAGGTTTAAAATGTACAGAGCAGGATACTGATAAATTTTATACTCTGATTTCTCTAGAGTTCAGACCAAAAACAAGACAGAAATCAGTAAAATAAAGTACAAGTGAAAGCCAGAATAAGAACAATAAGTAATATAATATTGCAGAATTTAGAACAGGAAACTGAGAGAAAAAGTTTGATTCTACTTTAGTGCAAGAAACAGATTGAATATAACAGGAAAATAGCTAGCTTGCTAGACATAGATATAATATAAATATAGATACGGATATAGATATAGATATAGGTATAGATATTATTACTGGTTCTTAGAATTATAGAATTTCCAGCACTAGATGCAACCTCACAAAACATTCCAACCAATCTTCCCATTTACAAGTGAAAAAAAAGGAGGCCGGTAGAGGAGCAGTAGTTTGTCCAAGGTTAGAGGAAGAGTTAATGTACCGATATTAACCAAAGACTTCTTTCCTGTTTAATGCTTCCCCACTGTATCATGGGGCCTCTTGTAAGCATAGATTAAAAAAAAAGCAAGAGAGAAAATTAAGATATAAGTAACTAAGAGAACAAAAGAAAAAAATATGATAAAGATGGGAGAAAAGAGAATTAAAAACAAAAAAGTGGGTACACTCTACATATATTAAAACATTCAAGAGAAGCATGTTGAACGATTTAAGAGAACTGTGGTCAGATTTAGATGAGTGCGATGAAGAAGAGAAGAATTGAAGAATAGTCTATGAAATGAGTTCAGATATCATGAAAGAAACAGGAATTAGGAAAAGAATGCCAAATAGCATGCGGAAATCAAAGCAGGGATGAAGAAACAAAAGCTTGGAAAGAAAAGTAACATATATTTTAGTGGGTCTGAGAGCCATAGAGCTGAATTCAAGACATTTGAATATGTTCTCATCAACCTCTGATGAGTATTCAATGATGTATGGAAAAGTGTGAAATGACTACAATATTGCAATAAGGTGCTAGTCATGTTTTTAAAAAGAATATGGGAAAAGAGAGGCCCTTGACATGGTTAAACACAGTTTCAAGTTGCTGTTTTCCCCCAGTAATCCTGCTGCAACTGTTCTCATGAATAGTTATTGGATGACACTTGCAGTGCAGTGGTGTTCCATAAATCAGAAGGAAATGGCCAGTGAACTTGAAATTACAAAATATGCTATGAGGAAGGTAGGGAGAATAGTTTAGAGGGACAGTGTTTTTCTCTTCAGGAACATGCTGGGATATATAAGCACAATGCATCCAAATGAACCTAGGATGCCCATACTCAGTGGAGGTGGGAAAAGATAAAATGACAGATGGAATGAAACAACATATCTGTATTATGTAAGTTGTCCTGTGTTCTTCTTCATAAGGAAATGTGACAAATCTATACCAAGTTAAGAATACAACTGGAGGCTTCCAAATTAAAAAGAAGTATATGGGCCTTGCTTGTTAAATGATATTGTCTGAGCCATAACAGGATGCTGGAAGATACAGGACAAATTATAGCAGTAGGGATAGTATTAAAGATGAAAATTTGCAGAAGAGTAGGCAACAAATCTTTAAAAAGATACTTTTATAGTGTTTTGTAAGACTTGCAACCCTTATTCTCTGTAATGTGTTTTGTCATTGTAATGTGGTGTGATAAAACCTTGAACTATTGGTTTGTAGTATGCATAATTACAGATTTTTTTTAATTTGAAGAAAAACCTAAAAAGCATGGCAATTTAGTTTATTAATTAATGGCAATGCACTTTATAACATGTCAAGTATTTTTCTCTGTAGTAAAATGTGCTAATTTAAAAAGTCATAAAATTGGATTGATGGACTTGAAGCTAGACAGGGTGCATTCAAAGATTTCCTTTCTAAGGAAGGTAAATAAAACAAGGAAAATAAAAACATGAAAATAGTATATATCTCTTATATTTGCAATTATGATAAGAAAGTTATTGAAATATGTTTGTAATTATATTGCATTTTCTGCCGTTTCAATAAAAATTCCTTTTTGGGGAATTAAAGCTTGTGTTTTGTTTTGTTAAAGTATAGTCTAATTAAGATTTTTTCCCATGTTCTAGGAAAATTTAAATGTTTATCATGCAATTGTATAGGGAGTCATAATTTAAATATTCTAGTTCCTAGCTAACCACAAATTATAGATAGTAGGATATTCCAAGGGGATTATTTTAAAAATATTATCTGCAGTGCCCACAATCTAAAACACTTTTATTCTTTGCTTTTCATTCACTCTCTACAAGATAAAAGTATTGTGAAGAACACTCAGCATCATTCCTACTCCATCTTATCCTGTCCCCTGTTTTGCTGGGGTCAGAATCCTGGGCACTGAATTCTCTAGAGTCCCTTGCTCATATAGTTCTAGTTTCTACCAAGAGACACTTGATGACATTTGGAATTTGTAAGGAAAGTGGGGAATGTTATTCCTCCTCCAGTAGTGGTAGATAGTTGTGTGGGCTCCAGAAAATATGACTTAAAACAACAACAGCAACAACAAAAAAAACCCAATGTACCCTGTAAAATGCATTATTATTAAGTTTACAGCTTGGTGAATATTTACATATGCAAGTATCTGTGTGACCAACACCCTGATAAAGACACAGAACATTTTCATCATCCCAGAGGTTTTCTTCATGTCATTTGTCAATCAATACCCACCTGAGGTAACCACAATTGTGATTTCTAACAGTTTAGCTTTGCCTGCTTTTGGAATTCATGTAAATTGTCTCACACAGTTATGTATGGTTTTTGCATTGTTTGGCTTCTTTTGTTCAGTATGTTGTCTGTAAGACTTATCCATTTGCTGTATGTGGCAGTATTTCATTTTTTAGTTCTTGTGTAGTAGTCCATTATATGACCATGCCATATTTTATTATCTATTGCACTCTTAATGGACATTTGTATTGTTACAAGTTTTTGGCTCTTAAAAGTAAAGCTGATTCAAACATTTACATATATATGCCTTTAATGGTCATATGTGAAGATGGGAAACTTGCATCAGCCTCCAAATGGGCCTCTTTAGAGAGTTCCCTCAGGAATTATCTCTTTGGTGTTGTCGGTAGCCATGGGCATTGCAACTGTTTTCCTGCAGTTCCTGACGTGAGAAGATTTTCCTGAAATCTAATGACAAACTTAAGAGGTAGAAGGAGTCTTCCCTGTTATTTTTCCGCCTTCTGACATATTTGCAAGCCTAGAATTCCCTTTATTCAATTCCATTCTGCTTGAAATAACTACAATGATTTCTCTGGTACCAAAAGTGTGTCTCGGATATAGAATGTCAAAGACAAAGACCTGAAATTATCTTATCTATGGTTGCCAGAGAAGGTACAGAATTCCCAGTCACATTTGAATTTCAGATAAACAAAGAATTATGTTTTATTATATCTATGGTTCATGCAATATTTGTATTTCTATTTACTAAACTTGTGAACTCTATTCAGACATGGTTAAGACAAAGGCAGTGATGATGCATTTCCCCTACATTCCAAAAACTAGCAGATATCTGCAATATCTGCTAGCTTTTGGAACGTAGGGAAAATGCAGTCACAGTAATGCAGCCTGTGGTTACCAGGAATAAAGCTACATACAATGAAGGCAGGGCTTTGGGAGATCAAGTAATACTTTGCTAATTATGTCAAGTCTCAACTTTTTAATGTGATTGATATAATTTTGAATGATAATATACCTCAGAGAACAATATTAAAAAGACAATTGACATTATTGTTTCTCTGTTTCATATGACAGTGAATACAATCTAAAATAAGTTGCCCAAAGATTAGGTTTAATCACATACTTAACTAAAAAGTGCTGGGGTATATCTGACTTCCAGCCTAGCTATATTCAATATGCTACCCAGACCCTGGTCATTTCTTGTCTCAGCTTGCTTTATGTTTTTGTTTTTTATTTTTACTTAGCATAATTATTTTAAAATTCATCCAAGTTGTTTTGTAGATTAATAGTTAATTCTTATTTATTGGTGAATATTATTTCATTGTATGGATACATCACAACTTGTTTATCCACTTACCAGTTGGTTTATGCTTGGGTGGTACCCATTTTTGGTCTATTGCCAAAAAAGCTACTATAGGCCCTCATATACAAGATTTTGTATAGATATATACTTTCATTTCTCTTAGGAAATTACATGTGATATAGATATATTTTTAACTTCTTAATAAAGTTCCAAACTGTTTCCCAATATGGTTGTATTATTTCATATTTTCACCAGCAGTGTATGTGAGTTCTAGTTCCCCCGCCCCATCACTAACACTTGGTGTGGTAAATATTTTTAATTTTAGTCATTTTAGTAGGTATGTAGTATTATCTCATTGTAGTTATCTTGATTATATTTTCTTGTGACTATTTGCCATTAGTATATCCTCTTCCATTTTTGAAAAAATAGAGTTGTTTTCTTATTATTCAGTTTAAGATGTCTTTATATATTGTAAATACCAATCCTTTATCAGATATATGATTTGTAAATATTTTCTTTGGTCTGTGGTTTGTTTTTGAATTCTTATAACAGAGTCTCTCAAAAAGCAAACGTTTTTAATTTTGCAAAGGTCCATATATTTTTTGATGGACTATACTTTTGATGTTTTATCTTGTCTTTTGTCTAATTTAAGGATACAAAAGTGTTTTGTTTTATTCTAGAGATTTATGTTTAATGTATTATATCTAGGTCTATAATCCACTTTAAGCTAACTTCTATATATGGTGCAAATTATAGAAAAAGCTCAGTTTTTTGCATATGGATATTCAGTAGTTTCAGCACCATTTGTTGAAAAGACTATCCTTTCTCTAAGGACATGCCTTTGAACCTTTGTTCAATACCAGTTATCTGTATATATGTTCGAGTCTATTTCTGAACTCTCTATTCTGTTCCATTCTTCTTTTTCTCTATCTTTATACCGAATCACACTGTTTTGATTATTGTAGATTTAAGTATTCAAATTAGGTAGTGTTAGTCATCCAACATTTTTTTCTAAATCAAAGTTGTTTTGCTTATTGTACATCCTTTGTATTTCTTTTTGATGTTAGATTTCAGAATTTAGCTTGCCAATTTTTAAAACAACGTCTACAAGAATTTTAATTTGAATGACATCAAATCCAAATTAGAAGTGACATCGTAAAAATATTGGGTCTTATGACCCATCAAACAGTGTATAATTCCATTTATTTTGGTCTGCTTTGATGTCTCTTAGCAGTGTATTTTAGTTTTCAGTATATAGGCCTTGCACATCTTTTGTTAGATGCATCCCTATTTATTTCACTTTTTGATGCTATTGTATTATTTTTCCATTTTGATTATTTTCTAAGGTCATCTCTTTTATTATGAACTATGAATTTTCAGTTTTAATAATGATAACATAATTTTTTCTTTTTGAGTTTTTGAATATACCTTGCATTCTTGGGATATATCCCACTTGGACAAAATGTAGTATTCATTTTCTATATTGTTGAGTTTTGTTTGCTAAAATTTTATTAATAATTTTGCATTTGTATTTGGGAGGGGCATTATTTTTAGTTTTATTTGCTTGTAATGTTTTTATTTTGCTTTCAGGTCAGTGATGGCTTCATAGAAGAGTTGGTAAGTACTTTGTGCTCTTTGGTTTCCTGAAAAAAATAAACTAGGAAGCTACTTGAGATTGCAGTTTTCTCAGTGGAAAGATTTCTAACTACAAATTCAATTTCTTTAACAGATATGGGGCTATCCAGATCCTATTAGTGAGCTTTGGTAGTTTACGTATTTCAAAAAATTTATCTATTTATTTATATTGTCAGACTCATTGGCATAAAGTTATGCGTAATGTTGCTTTAGTATATGCTTAATATCCATAGATTCTGTAATGACGCATACCTTACCTCTCATTACTACTATTGGTAATTTGTATGTGTTTGTTTTTTAAAAATTGATCATTATGGATGATTAAATGTATTGATCTTCTCAAATAACCAGCTCTTGGTTTCATTGATTTCCTTTGTATTTTTCTTGTTTTCTATTTTATTGATTTTTTTCTTTAAATTTTATTTTATTTTATTCTTTGCTCACTTTGGGTTTAATTTACTTGTATTTTTTAGTTTTATAAGGCAGAACCTACATTTATTTAAGATTTTCATCTAATATAGGCATCTAGTGCTACAGATTTTATACAAAGTACTACTTTACCTTTATCCCACAAATTTTGTATGTTGCTTCATTTTTACTCACTTCAAAATATTTATAATTTACCTTTTGACATTTTGACCAATGAGTTCCTTCTATGTGTTACTTATATTTTTTTAATTAGGGGATGTTCCAGAAATATTTCTGTTATTGGTTTCTAATTTATTTCCAAAGAGAACACAGTATGATTTCGATACTTGAAAATTTATTGAAATTTTGGTTTCCTTTTTTTTTTTTTTTTGCCCCAGAATAAGATCTATCTTGTTAAATGTTTCACATACAGTTAAAAGCATTTGTAGTCTTCTGTTGTTGCATGGAGTCTTCACTGAACACCTATTAAGTGACATCGGTTAATAGTGTTGTTTATGTCTACTATAATACTTCTTTCTACTTGTTCTCTTAGAGAGAGAGAGGGGTGTTAAAATCTCTGATGATAGTTATGTGTTTGTCAATTCCTTCATGCAGTTCTATTAGTTATTGGTTAATATATTTTAAAGCTGTTACTAGGTGGGATTGTTATGCTTATTGAGGAATTGACCTTTTTATCATCACAAAATAACTTTATCCAAGGTAATATTCTTTGCTCTGATATTGACTAATATTAATATAACCACTCCAGCATTTCCATAATTAGTGTTAGCATAGTATAACTTTCCTCAATTCTTTTGCTTTTAGCATATATTTTTCTATATTTAAAAGCCATTTTTTTTTGCATCGGTAGGCAGCACACAGTTGATTCTCGCTTTTTTTTATTATTATTATACTTTAAGTTTTAGGATACATGTGCACAACGTGCTGGTTTGTTACATATGTGTACATGTGCCATGTTGGTGTGCTGCACCCATTAACTCGTCATTTAGCATTAGGTATATCTCCTAATGCTATCCCTCCCCCCTCCCCCTACCCCACAACAGTCCCCGGTGTGTGATGTTCCCCTTCCTGTGTCCATGTGTTCTCATTGTTCAATTCCCACCTATGAGTGAGAGCATGCGGTGTTTGGTTTTTTGTCCTTGCGATAGTTTGCTGAGAATGATGGTTTCCAGCTTCATCCATGTCCCTATAAAGGACATGAACTCATCATTTTTTATGGCTGCATAATATTCCATGGTGTATATGTGCTACATTTTCTTAATCCAGTCTATCATTGTTGGACATTGGGGTTGGTTCCAAGTCTTTGCTATTGTGAATAGTGCCGCAATAAACATACATGTGCATATGTCTTTATAGCAGCATGATTTATAATCCTTTGGGTATATACCCAGTAACGGGATGACTGGGTCAAATGGTATTTCTAGTTCTAGATCCCTGAGGAATCGCCACACTGACTTCCATAATGGTTGAACTACTTTACAGTCCCACCAACAGTGTAAAAGTGTTCCTATTTCTCCACATCCTCTCCAGCACCTGTTGTTTCCTGACTTTTGAATGATTGCCATTCTAACTGGTGTGAGATGGTATCTCATTGTGGTTTTGATTTGCATTTCTCTGATGGCCAGTGATGATGGGCATTTTTTCATGTGTCTTTTGGCTGCATAAATGTCTTCTTTTGAGAAATGTCTGTTCATATCCTTCGCCTACTTTTTGATAGGGTTGTTTTTTTCTTGCAAATTTGTTTGAGTTCATTGTAGATTCTGGATATTAGCCCTTTGTCAGATGAGTAGATTGCAAAAATTGTCTCCCATTTTGTAGGTTGCCTGTTCACTCTGATGGTAGTTTCTTTTGCTGTGCAGAAGCTCTTTAGTTTAGTTAGATCCCATTTGTCAATTTTGGCTTTTGTTGCCATTGCTTTTGGTGTTTCAGACCTGAAGTCCTTGCCCATGCCTATGTCCTGAATGGTAATGCCTAGGTTTTCTTCTAGGGTTTTTATGGTTTTAGGTCTAACATGTAAGTCTTTAATCCATCTTGAATTAATTTTTGTATAAAGTGTAAGGAAGGGATCCAGTTTCAGCTTTCTACATATGGCTAGCCAGTTTTCCCAGCACCATTTATTAAATAGGGAATCCTTTCCCTATTGCTTGTTTTTCTCAGGTTTGTCAAAGATCAGATAGTTGTAGATATGCGGCATTATTTCTGAGGGCTCTGTTCTGTTCCATTGATCTATATCTCTGTTTTGGTACCAGTGCCATGCTGTTTTGGTTACTGTAGCCTTGTAGTATAGTTTGAAGTCAGGTAGCTTGATGCCTCCAGCTTTGTTCTTTTGGCTCAGGATTGACTTGGCGATGCAGGTTCTTTTTTGGTTCCATATGAACTTTAAAGTAGTTTTTTCCAATTCTGTGAAGAAAGTCATTGGTAGCTTGATGGGGATGGCATTGAATCTATGAATTATCTTGGGGAGTATGGCCATTTTCACGATATTGATTCTTCCTACCCATGAGCATGGAATGTTCTTCCATTTGTTTGTATCCTCTTTTATTTCCTTGAGCAGTGGTCTGTAGTTCTCCTTGAAGAGGTCCTTCACATCTCTTGTAAGTTGGATTCCTAGGTATTTTATTCTCTTTGAAGCAATTGTGAATGGGAGTTCACTCATGATTTGGCTCTCTGTTTGTCTGTTATTGGTGTATAAGAATGCTTGTGATTTTTGTACATTGATTTTGTATCCTGAGACTTTGCTGAAGTTGCTTATCAGCTTAAGAAGATTTGGGGCTGAGACGATGGGGTTTTCTAGATATACAATCATGTCATCTGCAAACAGGGACAATTTGACTTCCTCTTTTCCCAATTGAATGTCCTTTTTTTCCTTCTCCTGCCTGATTGCCCTGGCCAGAACTTCCAACACTATGTTGAATAAGAGTGGTGAGAGAGGGCATCTGTGTCTTGTGCCAGTTTTCAAAGGGAATGCTTCCAGTTTTTGTCCATTCAGTATGATATTGGCTGTGGGTTTGTCATAGATAGCTCTTATTATTTTGAGATATGTCCCATCAATACCTAATTTATTGAGATATTTTAGCATGAAGGGTTGTTGAATTTTGTCAAAGGCCTTTTCTGCATCTTTTGAGCTAATCATGTGGTTTTTGTCTTTGGTTCTGTTTATATGCTGGATTACATTTATTGATTTTCGTATGTTGAACCAGCCTTGCATCCCATGGATGAAGCCCACTTGATCATGGTGGATAAGTTTTTGATGTGTTGCTGGATTCAGTTTGCCAGTATTTTATTGAGGATTTTTGCATCAATGCTCATCAAGGATATTGGTCTAAAATTCTCTTTTTCTGTTTTGTCTCTGCCAGGCTTTGGTATCAGGATGATGCTGGCCTCATAAAATGAGTTAGGGAGGATTCCCTCTTTTTCTATTGATTGGAATAGATCAGAAGGATTGGTACCAGCTCTTCCTTGTACCTCTGGTAGAATTCGGCTGTGAATCCGTCTGGTCCTGGACTTTTCTTGGTTGGTAAGCTATTAATTATTGCCTCAATTTCAGAGCCTGTTATTGGTCTATTCAGAGATTCAACTTCTTCCTGGTTTAGTCTTGGGATAGTGTATGTGTTGAGGAATTTATCCATTTCTTCTAGATTTTCTAGTTTATTTATGTAGAGGTGTTTATAGTATTCTCTGATGGTAGTTTGTATTTCTGTGGGATCGGTGGTGATATCCCCTTTGTCATTTTTTATTGCGTCTATTTGATTCTTCTCTCTTTTCTTCTTTATTAGTCTTGCTAGGTTCTCGCTTTTTATTTAATCTGAAAATCTCTGCATTTTCACCACATTCATTCATGTTATTGCAAATGACAGAATTACCTTTTGTTTTGTTTTGTTTTGGTTTGGTTTACTTTTTTGTTTTTTCGTTTTTTTTGAGATGGAGTCTCGCTATGTCGCCAGGCTGGAGTGCAGTGGCATGATCTCGGCTCACTGCAACCTCCGTATCCCGGGTTCAAGCTATTCTCCTGCCTCAGCCTTGTGAGTAGCTGAGACTGCAGGCACCCGCCACCATGACTGGCTAATTTTCGTATTTTTAGTAGAGACGGGGTTTCACCATATTGGCCAGGATGGTCTCGATCACTTGACTTTGTGATCTGCCCTCCTTGGCTTCCCAAAATGCTGGGATTACAGGTGTGAGCCACTGCGCCCAGCCCAGAATTTCCTTTTTAAAAAGGCTGAATAGTATCCCAGTTTCTATATACAGCACATTGTCTTCATTAATCTGTTGATGTATAAGTAGGTTGACTGGCTATTATGAATAATGCTGCTATGAACATGGGAGTGCAGATATCTGACATACTGATTTTATTATTTTTGGATATATACCCAGCAGTGGTATTGCTGGATCACATGCCATTCTGTTTTTAATTTTTTGAGAAACTTTCATACTGTTTTTCAAAATTACATACTAATTTACATTCCCACCAACAGTATGAAAGTATTATAAATCCTAGAAGTAAAAAATATAGTAACTGACTGAAAAACTCATTAGAAAGATTCAACAGCAGACTTGATCAAACAGAGAAAAGAATGGGCAAGTTTGAAGACAGAACATAAAAAATCAGCCAATTAGAGGCACAAAAAGATTAAAAAAAAAGATTAAAGAAGGCCTATGAGGACTATGGACCACTATCAAGTGAACTAATCTCTGCATGATTGGACTTCCCAAAGGAGACAAGAGAGACATTTAAGCAAATAAAGGCTGAAAATTTCCCAGGTCTGGAGAAAGATGACAGCATCCAGGTACAGGAAGCTCAGAGATTACCAATCAAATTCAACTTAAAGAGGAATTCCTCAAGGCACATCATAATCACTTTAGTAAAAATTGAAACAAAGAAAGACTCTTCAAGGAGCATGAGAAAAAGAACATGTTACATTCAATGGAGTGCCAATACAGCTTTCAGTGGATTTCTCAGTAGAAACTCTGCAGCCCAAGAGAGAGTAGGATGCTATAATCAAAGCACTTAAGAAACATAACTGACAACCAAGAATACTGTTTCCAGGAAATGTATCCTTAAACATAAAAAAAAGATAAACACTTTCCCAGGCAAACAAAAGCTGAGAAAATTCATCAACACCAGACCTATCTTAAAGGAAATGCTAAAAGGAGGTCTGTGAAAGAAATGGATATTAACCTGTAATAAGTAAACATTTAAAAGTATAAAACTTAACTGGCAAAAGTAAGAAAACTGACAAAATTAGAATACTGATATCTTCTTTTGAGAAATGTATATTTAAGTTCTTGTCCATTTTTTAATCAGCTTATTGTTTTCTTACTATTGAGTTGTTTGAGCTCTTTATACATATTGCATATGTATTAAGAATGTATCAGATGTATATGTATCAGATGTATGTGTCAAAAGGTGAAGTTACAACAAATTTAGCTTAAAGATCTAATTGGTTTCTATCTCCAATTCTAAAATCAGGCAACACCTCATTCTACACAATAGAATGAGTGTTTTCATTAACTGAGCAGGGTAGGTTGGTTTTCTAGGCAAAAGAAAAGTCTGAAAAAAGCAGAAACAGAGAACAAAAGTTGATTTGTCATTTCAAAGTTACTTTCCTTATAGGATTAAAATTAAGGGGACTTATTACACTGATTTAGGCTAATTGGAATCACTTGTTTTTTAAAGAAAACTATCCCATTTTAAAGTTTAGTTTGATTACATAAAACTTAGTGCAAATGAGTCTATTCTGGCTTGATCTGCAACCTCAAAAGACCCCAAAAGTCACAGAAATCTTGAGCATAAAAGAAAAGCTGGAGGCAGCATACTACCTGACTTCAAAATACATTATAAAGCTATAGTAATCAAAACAGCATGCTACTGGCATAAAAATAAACCCAGAGACCAATGGAACAAAATAGAGAGCCTGGAAATTAATCCATGAATTATGGTCAATTGATTTTTGACAAAGGTGCCAAATACATACAACAGGAGAAGAACAGTTATTTTTAAAATAGTGTTGGAACAACTGGATATTCACATGCAAAATAGTGAAATTAGACTCTGGTCTCACATCATATATAAAAACCAACTCAAAATGGATTAAATAGTTAAAGCAAAACCTGAAACTGTAAAACTACTAGTAGAAAATATGCAGAAAAAGCTCCATGACATTGGTCTGGGAAATGAGTTTTTGGATATCACCCCAAAAGCAGAGACAATAAAAGCAAAAATAGACAAATGAGATCACCACCAACTAAAAAGCTTCTGCACAACCAAGAAAACAATCAACAGAGTGAGAAGACAACCTATAGAATGAGTGAAAATATTTGAACGTCACTTGTGAAACAAAGCTTCTGGGAGATTGAGCTAGCTTTCTGCATTAGACCCTAGCAGATCAGACCAAACCAGAATGAAGTTACTTGTCCAAAATGTTCCATTATCCAACTAAACTTTAAAGTGGTCCAATTTTTCTATAAAAGAAGAGATTCTGCTAAACCTGTTTTAGTGTAATAAAGAAGTCCCTTCTCTTTTAACCATGTAAGGAAAATAACATTACCTTGTTTATGCTGGATGTTTTGTATTACTATTAATATTTTTGAGCTTTGTTCCATAATGTTGTTAAGTTTCTTGGAAACAATTTCATTTTTTAGTCTTGCTTTTAAGATTTGTTATGTAAGGACACAATAATGTTTTGTCTAGAGCAAAATACTTCACTCTGAGGGAATACTCTTCTAATAACTCCACCCAATACCTGTGAATTATAGGAATTTCCAAACTGGCTTAGGGGAGCATTCACTAATTCTGACCCTGACTGAGGTACCTCTTCCTTTATTTCTTTCAGATGGTTCTTCCCTAGACTCAAGAGTTTCCTAGTGTGTATACACCAATCAGTACTTTGCTGAATACTTGAGGAAAACCCTTTTCAGCACTCTGGGGTTCTTTTTCTTTGCAGCTACAACATCTCTGTTTCTCTTCCCTGAGAACTCTAACTGCCTTTGTCTCCATGGGCTCTGAGCTTCTTCTCTTCAATTATGGACTCTTCCAGCCCATGCCCATGTTCCTCTCCTTAGGTCACAGCCTGGAAACTTACTCAAGGCAGTGGTTTGGGGACAATAGTAGGGATTACCTCATTTTTTTTTCTGTCTCTTAGGAATCACTGTATTTCATATCTGTTTTTAGATATCACTTGTCTGATATGTTTTTTCATTGTTTCAAGTGACTGGGTAAATCTGGTCTCTATATTTTCACTTAGGCCAGAAGTGAAATCTGTGACCAGTTTTTTTGTTTTGTTTTGTTTTGTTTTGTTTTTTAACGGAGTTTTGCTCTTGTTGCCCAGGCTGGAGTGCAATGGCACAATCTTGGCTCACTGCAACCTCTGCCTCCCCAGCTCAAGCGATTCTCCTGCCTCAGCCTCCCAAGTTGCTGGGATTACAGGTGTCAGCCACCACACCCAGCTAATTTTTTGTACTTCTAATAGAGATGGGGTTTCACCATGTTGGCCAGGCTGGTCTTGAACTCCTGACTTCAGGTGATCCACCCACCTCATCCTCCCAAAGTGCTGGCATTACAGGTGTGAGCCACTGCACTCAGCCATCTATGACCAGTTTTTAACAAAGTATATTTAACTCATTGAAGGAGGCTTGGAGTCTCCAATGTCAACACTGAATGAATGCTTACTTTTAAATTTTAAGTGAATTTAGGCCAGGCACGGTGCCTCACACCTGTAATCCCAGCACTTTGGGAGGCCAAGGTGAGTTGATCAATTGAAGGGAGGAGTTTGAGAGCAGCCTGGACAACATGGTGAAACCCCATCTCTACTAAAAATACAAAAATTATCTGGGTGTGGAGGGGGGGTACCTGTAATCCCAGCTACTTGGAAGGCTGATGGAGAAGAATTGCTTAAACCCAGAGGGTGGAGGTTTCAGCGAGCCAAGATTGCACCACTCCAGTCCAGCGTGGGTGACAGAGCAAGACTCCATCTCAAAAAAAAAAAAAAAAAAAAGGGCATAGCCATCCATCAATATTTTAATAGCCTGCCATTTTATAACATGCTAAGTGATGGGTTCATGTCACAAATCAATATATTCATTTTGAGGTTATATGTTAGTTTCTGAGCAGCAGCTACTCACTTAAATGACACTATGATGGGATAAAGTGAATAAGAAAAGTTGGTAAAAATGTCTTGAAAAAATCAAATCACATCATGTAGCCATATAAGAGAAACTGAAACACAAAAATGCTAATTGTTTCACCAACTGTCATTCTGACTGATTGTTTTTATAAACGTAGACAGGGAGAGTCCTATAATTAAGAACTCTTCTTGGACTTTTTGACAAAAGTTTTATGTAGTTTTAAAATGTGTGTAGAGGCATATCAACACTATCCAATCCTGATGAGAAATAAAAAATAAAACCATACAGATTGCATTGATGTAGTCCTCAGGAAAAAAAGGATTATTTAATCTAACTTAATGAGCTGCTATATCATTTTTTCTCAAAGAACTAACATTTTAGGAAAATAATAAAGGAAAAATGGACAGCTTAAGCATTTCTGAAGTGAATACATTGATTCATGCTCAAGAAATGTCATTCAAACTTTAGATTATTGTACCTGTCTGCAATTAGAGATGATTTGTGAAGAGAAGTAGCCAGGTGTAAATTAAATGTATCCAATGGGTTGACTCCCAGCTAGCATTTCCCAGTAGGCATTCTGTTGTTCTGAAGACTAGGCAGATATAACTTTATTTGTCACAAAACTTTTATTTAAAGAAATCTCAGTCCAATAGTTCTATAAGTTTTTAAATGAATTTCATGCCATTTTGAACAGCTGGAGTTAGAAGATGGAAATTATTCTAATATAAGGTGCATGATTACTTGTGACATTAAAAAATGAAAGATGTATTAAATAACACATTTTAGTTATATTTTAATGATGATCCTACTTTTAAGGAGACTCTAGAAAATGTGGGAAAGTTCATTGAAAAAAATAGGTGATATGTAATTTGATAATAATGTTGATGTCTTTCCTAGGATATATCTACCTATTCACAAGTCATTTAGAAATATAAATGAGGGAGGAAAGAGTACATTTTCGCCTCACCCCATTTGTTTTACTCACAAGAAGCAGCGTGAAAACCATTGGTCAGCAAAGAATCAGTAACTTTATTTAAACTAATTTAGAACAAGATAAAAATTTGAAAGTCCTTACTAACAATGAATCTGTGTTTGCATATTCCTAATCTTTAATATAAAATAAACCATGAAAGTCTATACAGAATTGAAAACAGATAACTTGAGAAGTTAACTAATTGGAAAAATGATGCAAACATTTGATGTAGAAAAGAGATAAAGCAGAAGCTTACTATTATTTTAAATATTCTTTTCTGTAATGAAAATATCTTATTAATAAAAGTGTATTTCATTTATGATCTTGAACAGAGAATATCTATAATGTTGGGACCAAAACATTAATTTAGCTGAACTGAATTAATATAAAGCTGTAACAGTTAATTAAATGATTTAAAAGTAAAACAAACAGACAACAAAACAAAATGACCTAAAATTTTTTAATTGAATGAATAAAGTAAGTTTTATTTATCTTCTGGTTCTGGGGTTGACAGAGATGCATGGTGACCCCAGCAGAACACAGCACCCCCGCAAGCCACAGTGATTGCTTCAGTATATACACCTGACTGATGTCCAGCCAGTCAAGTTTAATCAGTACCAACTTGGAAATTTTTACTTCAGCAACCAGGAAAGGAGTTGAGATCTTTTCTTCTGGGAGTGGAGCTATGAAGACATATGTCTGGAACTGCTGATAGTTGTCATAAAATCCTAAGTAAAGATATCTTCTGACAATATAAGCTTTCCAAAAGAAAACAGAACAGAGGGGGACTTCTGGTTTGTGACAAGAAACAGGCACCAGATTTATCCTCTCATAAGAAACAGCAACAAAAAACTGGACTCCATATGTAAAACAATGATTTTCAAGACATTGGACATTGGGCAATGATGAGACTCCGTCTCAAAAAAAAAAAAAAAAAAAAAAAAGAAATAAGAAACAAACAAGGTGTGCCCTAAGACTGTCCTAGGTCTGAAAATATTTCTAGGCCTGGGCTCAGGGAGAGGAGACAAAATTTGAGCCTGGCAGACCTCTGATTGAAGGAGACCAAGAAGGTTTAAATTTGTGGGAGAAAGTACCAGAGACAGATCTGTACAGACAACACCAGAGATTTTGGATTTCCCCTTGAGTTTTCAGCAGTATACTGATCAGTGCAAGCACACAAGGCAAGAGTCTAAGACTGTGGAAAGAACCACACAAAATTGTTAGAGGGACGGTTCCCAATGATCACCTCAGGATTGGGAATAGACCTACAAGCCAGTCAAGAAAACCACATAAATTACAGAGCAGTGGATAGAGTACCCAGAGGTGTCTTGATTCAATATAGGGAAATAATACAGTATCTAGTATTTAGCTGTAGACTAAATACTACTCTGGTCCTGCCTTAAACATTTTAAAAAGCAAGACCTGAAAATAATCAAACTGTTGCCAAGCAACTTAACTGAATTCCAGAAAAAAAGCTCAAGAGTATTTATACAAATACAAAAATACTTAATACCCAACAAGGTAAAATGCACAATGTATGATATCCAATGAAAAATTATCAGGCATACAAAGAAGTGGGAAAACACAATTCATAATGAGGAGAAATATATCAATATAAACTGACTCAGAAATGACACGTTATAATTAGCAGACAAATATATTGAGCAATTATTTTCACTGTATATCTTTAAATGCTTAAGCAGAAATGTGAAAGATATTTTAAAAGACTCAAAATGAACCTCTAGAGGTGAAAACTACAATGTCTGAGACGAAAAATACACTATATGTGATTAATAGACTGAGATAAAAATGCACATATTAGACACTGAAGAATATGAGATATATGTATTTACACACTCCACAACACAAACTATCCAAAATAAAACTAAAAATGGAAAAAATTAAAAGGGCATCAGTGAGCTATAGAATCTACAAAAAAGTAACTAAAATTTACAAAAAATAACTAGTAAAAAATGAGAAGACTTATCAAGATTGCAGATAACCAATTCATAGATAAATATCAATTCTCTTTCTGTGTACTAGCAATGAACAATCAGAGTTAAAATTGGAAAACAATATAGTAGCAAAAAATACATACTTAGAGATAACCCTAAGAAAAGCTGTGCAGGCCTAAATACTGAAAACTACAGTACATTGTTGAGAGAAATTAAAGAAGACCTAACTAAATATATGCTGTGTCAGTGGGTCAGAAGACTCAAAATTGTCAAGATGTCAGTTCTTCACAAACTGATATATAGATTCAATGAAATCCCAATCAAAATCCCAGTAGTCTTTTTTTAATTGACATGCTAATTCTAAAATTCATACAGAAATGCAAAGAACATAGAATAAGAAAAACAAGTTTGATAAAAGACAAAGTTATAGGGTTTACACTACATGATTTTAAGACTTACTATAAAGCTACAGCTGTCAAGGTGGCATGGCATTGGGACAAAGATAGACAACTAAATTTATGGAAGATAATAGAGAAATAGACCCACACAGGTGTAAACAATGTATTTTTAATAAGAGTGCAATGGAGAAAGAGTAGTCTGTTCAATAAATGATGCTGAAATAATTAGGCATCTATTTGCAAAAAAAGAACTTAGATCTGTGTCTTATACTATATACAAAAAACCCTCAAAATCAATCATATGTATACATTTAAAACATAAATGTATAAAAAATCTAGAAGAAAATATAGCAAGAACTAATGACTTTAGATTTGGCAAACATTTTTTGAACAGGATGCAAAAATCATGAACTTTTAAGGAAAAAGTAAAAATTCAACTGTATCAAAATTAAATTTTTTACTCTTTGAAAGACACTATTATGAACATAAAAAGATAAGCTGTTTTGTAAGTAAGTACTTGGAAAACATACATCCAACAAAGGCCTTGTAACTGGATTATATACAGAACTTTTTCAACTCAATAAGAAGAAAAGCCAACCAATTAAAAAATTTCAAACAGGGTCAAAAGAATAGACACATCACCAGAGAAGATTTATACATGGAAAATAAAGACATGAAAATATACTTAAAATCATTAATTATTAGCAAAATGAAAATTAAAATCACAGTCAAGTGATATGATATACCTACAAGAATGGAAAAAATAAAAAGATGAATTACATCAAGTACTGGTGAGGATATGAAGAAATGGGTACTCTCACACACTGCTGGTGAGAATGAAAAATGGTGCAACTATTTTATAAAACCATTAGGAATTTTCTTAAAAAGTTAAACATATATCTATAATTTAATGCAGCTATTCCACTCCTAAGTATTTATGTGAGAGAATGAAAAATGTGTCTATATTTATTTATATATCCTTATAGGACATATGAAGTTACTGGATTATAGACAGATTAATTATTTACTCAGAGACTATCTTCCTGCCATTTCTCCACACTTCAATACTCCATGGGATGACACAGTGTGTGGAGGAGAGTTTGCACCATAGGAAAGGAACTCCAAAATTATTAATTACAGAGTTTATATAGAGCAGTTGTCCAATATACCCCTTCTGGGTTGAGAGAGAAAGAAAGAGAAAAAGAGAGAGAGTGAGAGAAGAGAGATTTGCTCTGGAGTATATGGAATGCCAGCAGATCCTCTCTGGGGAGAAGAAGGAAAGTCTCCAGGTCAATTACACTTGCAAATGGAATTAAATGATGGCCTTTAGGAGAGATGAGACTATATCTTATATCTCCTTATAGAATTCTGTCTTTAGAGTTGCTGTTCATTCATCTCCTAATCTAAGAGCCAGTATCCTTTGCCCAGAAAGCCTCGACAATTCAGAAAAACAAAAATATTTGTAGAGGATTGTTTCCTGATATTATGCAAACAAAACTTGTCCAAGAATGTTCATAGTAACTTTATTTTCAGTACCCCAAACTGGATACAACACAAACGTCTCAAGTCAATTAATGAACAATTGTGATATATCCACACAATTGAATACCATTCAGCAATAAAAGGAAATAAACTATTGAAATATACAACTACAGGGACAAATCTCAAAAAGCTGTGCTGAATTAAAAATGCCAGACAAAAAACATACTTGATTATTTCATTTATATAGAATTTTAGAAAATGCAAGTTAATTTAGAGCAGGGGTTGCCAACCCCTATAGCAGCCTATGGCCTATTAGGAACCAAGCCACACAGCAGGAGGTGAGCAAGTGAGCAAAGCTTCATCTGTATTTACAGTTCCTCCTCATCATTTGCATTACCACCTGAGCACTGCCTCCTGTCAGATCAGCAGTGGCATTAGATTCTCATGGGAGTGTGAACCCTATTGTGAAATGTGCAAGTGAGGGATCTAGATTGTGAACTCCTTATGAGAATCTAATGCCTGATGATCTGAGGTGGAGCTGAGGTGGTGATGCTAGCACTGGGGAGTGGCTGCAAGTACAGATTAACATTAGCAGAGAGGTTTGCACAGAGACCATAATAAATCAATTTCTTGCAGACTCCTATCAAAACCCTATTAGTGAGTGGCAGTGACAAGCTGCATCTGGTGGCAGCCTTTATAGTGGCAAGCAATGTACTTCAATTGTACAGATGCATCTGGTAACAGGCTTTAAGTCAGAATCTGACACTTATTTTAGTCTGCACATGGCCTGTCCATTATTTTATTTACCACTTCTGTTCATGCCTCTTTCCTGCACTGTGCACTTGACTCAGTCACAGTTATAGTAAGCCCACAAGCTAACCCTAGCCAAATGAGTAAAAAACAAATGTTACTGAAGAGCTTCTTTGGAAAGGGGGAAAGTCTCAATGATGAGGCAGCCGAAGACTCTGAGACTCCCAACAAAAAGAAAGCTGCATTTAAAAGAAAATACCAAGAGCCCTACCTAATTTACAGGTTCATTGCAACAGGTGATTCACATTCTCCAAACCAAATTTACATTATATGTGATGATCGGCTATCCAACAAAGCCAAGAAACCTTCAAAACTCCTTCGTTACATGGAGACCAATCACCCTGCATTAAAAGACAAGCCTTTGGAGTTTTTCAAAAGAAAAAAAAGTCTGAACATGAAGAACGGAAGCAATTATTGAAGGCCCTCACTTCATCAAATGTGTCTGCATTGAGAACATCATTCTTAGTGGCTAACTGCATTGCTAAAGCTGAGAAGCCCTTTATTATTGGTGAAGAGTTGATCCTACCTGCTGTTAAGGACGTTTGTTGAGAACTTTTAGGAGAGGCTGCAGTTCAAAAGGTGGCACGTGTGCCTCTTTTGGCAAGCAACATAACTAGACAAATTGATGAAATAGGAGAGGATATTGAGGCACAACTTTTAGAGAGGATTAATGAGTCACTGTGGTATGCAATCCAGGTTGATGAGTCTACCAATGTTGACAACAAAGCAACAATGCTTATTTTTGCGTGATATATTTTTCAGGAGGATGTGCATGAGGATATGTTATGTGCACTGTTGTTGCCAACCAACACCACGTCTGCAGAACTATTCAAGTCTTTGAACGATTACGCATCAGGAAAACTGAATTGGTTATTTTGTGTTAGTATGCATAGACAGAGCAGCTGCCATGACTGGACGGCTTTCTGGTTTCACTATTCAGGTCAAAGAGGCCACTTCTGAATGTGAATCTATGCACTTCTGAGTGTGCATAGATGTGAATCTATGCCACTTCTGAATGTGAATCTATGTGTCATCCATAGAGAAATGCTGGCTAGCCAAAAAGTGTCACCTGAATGTAACAATGTTTTGCAGGATGTGATTAAAATAATTAACCACGCTAAAGTACATGCCCTTAACTCACATCTGTTCCCCTAGTTCTGTGAGAAGATGGATGCAGAGCACACATGTCTTGTCTTATACTCAGAAGTGAGATGGCTTTCTAAAGATGGCCAGAGTTTTTTAGTTGTCAGAGCTGCTCCAGAGGTTTGTTTTAGAAAAGAGTCACCACTGGCAGCATGTTCCAGTGACACAGAATGGGTCACAAAACTTGCTTACTTTTGTAACATATCCAACCTGCTCAATGAACTTAATATGTCACTTCAAGGGAGAATGACAACTATGTTCAAGTCAGCAGATAAAGTGGCTGCATTCAAAGCCAAACTGGAATTATGGGAGCGATGAGTGAACATTGAGATTTTTGACATGTTTCAAACATTAGCATAGATTTTGAAAGAGACTGAGCCAGGGCCTTCTTTCTCTGAGCTGGTTCATGATCACCTATCCCAGCTTTCAAAAGAATTTGAGCATTACTTCCCAACCATAAAAGACTGCCAAACTGGGAAGGAATGGATCTGTTGGGAACCATCTGTGAGTAAGCCTGGTGAATCAACTTTGTCTGTGCTAGAAGAGGATCAACTGCTTGAGATCACAAATGACAGTGGCCTTAAAAGTATGTTTGAGACAACTTCAGATCTCCATATGTTCTGGATTTAATTCAAAGCAGGATATCCTGAGATTGCCACAAAAGCACTGAAAAGCATGCTTCCATATCCAACATCTTATCTTTGTGAAGCAGGGTCTTCTGCAGTGACAGCAACTAAAACGAGATTAAGAAATAGACCAGACATAAGCAACACAGTTTGGGTGTCACTGTCTCCGATCACCTCCAGATGGGACCATCTAGTTGCAGGAAAACTCAGGGATCCCACTGATTCTACATTATGATGAGTTGTATAATTATTTCATTGTATATTACAATGTAATAATAATAGAAATAAAGTGCGCATTATATGTAATGTGCTTGAATCATCCCCGAGCCATTCCCCCGCCCCCCTCCACCCAACCACCGATCCATGGAAAAATTGTTTTCCACAAAATCGGTCCCTAGTGCCAAAAAGATTGGGGACCACTGATTCAGAGTGACAAAAAGCAGATCAATGGGTATCTGGAAACAGTGGATGAGGAGAAGGATCGGGATGGATGGAAGGGAAGGATTATAAAAGAGTGTAGTAAAACTTTTGTGTGTAATGGATATATTCATTATCTTGATTAAGGTGATGTTTCCATGTATTTATACATATGTCAAAACCTGTCAAGTTGTATGATTTAAATAATTGTAATGTATTTTATATCAGTTATACCATGATAAACCTGTTTAAAATCATAAGAATCAGCCAGTTCCTCTAGACTTTAATACATATTTATTTGATGTTTATGGTTTAAAGTTACATAAGAAGAGAAAAGGACAAGAATAGATTTTCCTACTGTTAGAAAGATTAAAGGCCACCGTTCTCAAGTTTCTTAGACTTCCCCTTAATCGGGGGTCTGTAGCTATACTAAAGTGCCCTCACCTGGGGACTAGTGGAGCCCGGGGTAGGAGAATTTCATGGGATTGACTGAGCCGTAACTTTTGATGAGACTCTACTGACCTTGTGTAGTGGGAAAAAGAAAGCAGAAAATTCAAATTCACTTAAAAGTCCATGGTTTATTGTTGATTTTATATAAGTCACTTAACTATTTTTATTATAAAGTTTTAAAAATTTTTATATTCTAATTTTTAAGTAAGAAGTAAAGAAATTACTATGCATTTATGCAATGGCTTTGGCAACTTTGCGTCTAATTTTACCCTTTTATCTTAATATTTAATTCTCAAAACAGTGTTACTAGGTATCATTGTCACCATTTATACATTAATTAGTGATATCCTGCTTCGTGACAGGAACCTCTTCACTGTGCGCATCTCTTTAAACTATGTGTTTATTTATTTATTTTTGAGATGGAGTTTCACTCTGTCTCCCAAGCTGGAGTGCAGTGGCATAATCTCTGCTCACTGCAACCTCTGCCTCCCAGGTTCAAGCGATTCTCTTGCCTCAGCCTCCCGAGTAGCTGGGATTACAGGCATGCACCATGATGCCAGCTAAGTTTTTTGTATTTTTAGTAGAGATGGGGTTTCACCATGTTGGCCAGGCTGGTCTCAAACTCCTGATCTCAAGTGACCCACCCGCCTCAGCCTCCCAAAGTGCTGGGATTACAGGCTTGAGCCACCATGCCTGCTCCCTCCCCTGCATCTCTTTAAACTATGAATGCATATTAGCAGCCTTATTACCTCTTTTTTTGTTAGGACTACCTTGTTCTATCCTGACGTCTACTCTCCTGCTGCAGCTTCCCACTAGCTAAACCCAACTGCAAGCCAGAGGATAATAGAGCCCTGGTAGCACAGTCCTCAGAGATCGGGGCCCAAAGCATGGGATGGAGGGACACACAGGGAATAACAAGTCCATTTTCCCTGCTCATAGTTGCAATCCTAGACACATCTACAAACTTACTAGTAGAAGCTAATTTTCCTTATAACATTGTCCCTTAAACCGATGTTGGCCTTACACTCTTGATTGGAAAGAAATTTCCCTTGCATTGTAACAGCAGGTTTGAATAATGGTTTCATCACTTTGTACTGTGTTCTTGTGCATGCTATCCTCTGATTTTTATTTTCTCCCTCTGTAAAAAGGGACTACTGAATTGCCTGATAGATAATAGTGGATTTAATAAATTTTAGCTTTCTTTTTTTCCTTCCTCTTAGATTCTTAAATCTGGCACATGGTAAATGTATATGTTTTTCTTTTTCTACTTACTTTGTTTTCTACTTCTGGTTGTTAGTTTTTAAAGCTTTTTTGACAAACTGTATTAAGTGTTATGTTACTTCATTAACAGGTAAGTTCATTGGAAGAGAACTAAAATTGGAATGAATATTAGTTCTGTGTCATTATGCTGACCATGTATTAGGACCTTCTGGTTGATTTTGGTTTTCCAATTTACGGTAAATTAACATATAGGTAACAATGACTTTTAAAAATGTAAAAGAAGGCAGATCCTGTGGTGAGTGAGCAATATGTTAGAACCAAGACTAGATATTCTCAGCTCTTCAAGTGCTCTATTTTGCTCCAGAGCTTTCTGCCACACAGATGTAATTCTGTCAGTCCTGCTCCCAAAACACAAGCTCACAATTTATATTTGTGACTTGCATTTGTCCTTGTTATTTGCAAATTCAGTATTTGTGAATCCATCTACTTGATAAAATTTATTTCTAACCCTCAAATTAATACGCTTGTGCTTTTGTGGTCTTTTGTAAACGTGCAGAACTGCTAAAAATGTGAGGCACCTGCCTGACCCACACATTCTAGCTGAGGTTGAACAAAGTGAGACTCTGCCTTCTTGTTTCAGTTCTCATACTGTATATAAGTAACCTTTTCCAGGTCTATTGAATGCCCTGTTTTTTGCATTTTGGGGCTTTTTGTTTGTGATTTCACTTTTTAAAATGGCCCCCAAGTGTAATGCTAAAGTGCTATCTGGTGTTCCAAAGCACAAGTTTACTGTAATATTCTTTATGGAGGCAAATATGGGCATTAGATAAGCTTCATTAAGGTATGGGTATAGTGGGGTTGGTCATCAGTTCAATATTAATAATCAATAATACTGTATATCTAGAAAAGGGAAGAATAAATTCTTTGATATCTACGTGAGGCCACTCCATAAAGTACTAAAGTAACATCTATGGTGTGTGATAAAGCTATGGGAAAATGGCTATATTTGTGGACTCATGAGATGACAACTGATTTTTAAAATGTAGTGAATAGTGTTGCTGTTGAGGCTGAAAGCCAAAGAAAGTTACCCAGCATCAGAAAAATGTTAAACCATTCTTAGCAAATGCCGGCTGACTCACATATTGCAAATGGCCATATAGTATGAAAAATATTTAACTTTCAGATAAAGTGGGTTCTGAAGATCAGGATACTGGAGAATAATTTTTTAAAATAACTATTTAGTGCTATACAGGAAAAGAGTTGTGTGAAAGAACAGGTTTTCAACGCTGATGAGAATGGCTTGTTGAAACATGGACAGTAGCAAAATAACTTAGATAGCATTTTGGTTGATGAAAATTTTGTGACTGGAGGCTTCTAGGAATCTAACCTTGTATTTCCCCTAAGAACAACACTTCAGAGTTCTAGTTTATAAAACATAACCTCCAAGAATAACAAGAATCAACCCTATGTATTTAATTACGATTTTGTTTTCTATGAAATTGAATTCCTTTGCTACATTGTATCAGTGAGTAATCTTCTTTGTAACTATTAGATATTTCCCTGAACAATGCAATTAATTGTGTGCAACTCTTTCTTCTTCCACGTATAAAAATTTTAAAATGGACAATTTTAGAACTCTCTGTATAAAAAATTAAAATAAGTAGACTAAAAATAGTTAAAAATTAAAATACCTGTTTCCTATGGACATATCACAATCCATTTGGAAAATTTTCAAGTGAACACATGAGCCTGGCTTAGAGGGGGCAGGATTCTTTTCTTTTCTCTTTTCTTTTCTTTTCTTTTCTTTTCTTTTCTCTTCTCTTCTTTTCCTTTCTTTCTTTCTTTCTTTCTTTCTTTCTTTCTTTCTCTCTCTCTCTTTCTTTCTTTCTCTCTCTTTCTTTCTTTTCTTTCTTTCTTTCTTTCTCTCTTTCTCTCTTTCTTTCTTTCTTCTTTTTTTTTTGACGGAGTCTCGCTCTGTTGCCCAGGCTGGAGTGCAGTGGTGAAATCTTGGCTCACTGTAAGATCTGCCTCCCGGGTTCAAGGTTCATGCCATTCTCCTGCCTCAGCCTCTCGAATAGCTGGGACTACAGGTGCCCGCCACCACGCCTGTCTAATTTTTTGTATTTTTTAGTAGAGACGGGTTTTCACGTTGTTAGCCAGGATGGTCTCGATCTCCTGACCTCGTGATCTGCCTGCCTCAGCCTCCCAAAGTGCTGGGATTACAGGCATGAGCCACTGCACCTGGCTGGAGCAAGGGTTGTTTTAGTTTAGAAATTTCATTAGTTTTCGGAGGCATAGGACTCTCATAAATCTCCAGGTCTTGCGGACCTAGAATAATCAACACTAATGTTTGAGCTGGCATTAGAGTAAGAGTTACACATGCAAGACATGGTGGACATTATTTAGTAGAACTTACAACAAGGTAATTAGATTAGTGTTTTACTATACTTTTATTTGAAGACTTTATGGAATAAAAAAGTATTATTCTTGTAGTAAATTGTTATTTTTTTACTTCCTTTTCTTATATTTAACAAGTATTTTCTATTATTTTGGTTATTTTGCCATAATTAAAGCAATTTACATTATAGAAAGATACAGCAGTAATTTAAAAGGTAAATAAGATCACGTGGTATATTAAGATGCTAACAAATTTTATTTTAGTTTTTCAAACAGTATTAACCATCTGCTAAGTTATAGCTGCAAAACTAGCCATATGTTGAAGTCATTTCTCTTATCCAATGTATACAGTTTTTTTAAAAAAGCCTTCGGCTGCTATTGTCCAAATATCCTGTAAAATACATGACAAGATTTTTTTTAAATTAACACAGGCAATTTATTTTGAGGGAGTTTGGTTATAGTGATCAAAGAAGAAATATTTCTCTGTATCACACTGAACAATTTTAAAGCAATGGTTTTATATCCGTTTTCAGTTTTTAATTATTCAAAGCATTTAGTAAAATTTAGAGGTTTTTACATATATAATGTATGTAAAAGTGAAGCATATTATTTTCAATTTCTAAAAGTTTCTTCTAATTATATATTTGGCAAGTAAATGATTTCTCATGTTGAACTTGGTAAAGGCTGTTGACTATTTTTACTTTATATGGAAACTTTTATTATTCTATTGCCAAAAGCATAATGTTTGATGTATTGGTTTCTAGTTTTGCTAACTTTCAATATAATTATTATTTATAACTACTAAGAAAAATAATTTTCAAATTTCATATGAACACATCCATATTCATGATAGTATTATTCACAATAGCTAAAAGTATATGCAAACCGAGTGTCTGTCAACGAATGAATGGATAAACAAAATGAGGTATATATATACAATGAAGTATTCAGCCTTAAAAAGAAAGAGAATTCTGATACATGTTAAAACATGGATGAACCATGGTTTGAGGACATTATGCCAAGTGAAATAAGCCACACCCTCAAAATCAAATACTATATGATTCCACTTATATGAAGTATCTAATGTAGTCAAACACATAAAAACAGGAAGTAGAATGGCAGTTGTCAAGGGCTGAGGGGAGGAGGAAATGGGGAGTTTTTGTTTGATGTGGTAAAGAGTTTTAGTTTTTCAAGATGAAAAAGGTCTGGAGATTGGTTGTAAAACAAAGTGAATACACTTAACCCTGGTGAACTGTACACTTAAAAATCGTTAAGATGGTAAATTTATGTCACGTGTATTTTATCACAATTAAAACATTTTTAAAATTTTATTTGAAGCAATTATTGAAATTATCAGTTTACCACTTTAACAGAATATAGTATTGCTTTTAAATAAATGTTAAAGTAAAATATTTTTCTAGCATTGAAGTATTAGGAAGAGATAAATATACTTTTCCAATTATATAAGTTTGCTATGTGTGTGTTTGTGTGTGTGGGGGGGGGATTATTTTCTAATCCCACAAATATTTGTGATACTTGTTTAAAAGAAAAATCTTTGCTTAGGAAATGTTCATAGTAAAATTTTCACTTCTATTTTCTTAAATAAAAAGTCCACTGCACGTGATCCTAAAGCCAGTTTTTTATCATGTGATCTGTGTATTATCCTCAGTGTTGATGCTGGAACTTGGGCAAATTATCCCTCTTAAAGAATTATTAAGCATTATAAATTACAACGAGTAGCATTTGATAATTGATTAGCCCAATCTTTATAAATCCTTTCTTTTCTATTCTCCCACAGTGCATTATCCTGATAGTCTCTGATATCTCAAAATATACTTTTTATTGCCCCCTCTGTTCTCTGCTCCCTATTTTCTCCAACTCTGCTCTTCCCTACCCAAAGAATGCCTCCAGATATATACATTTTGCAATGTTCACTCCTTGGATTTTTGCTGTTCTTGAAAGAGGCTTTTTTCCCCTTAAAATAATTAATTTATTCTCATAATTGTAATTCCTATACTTGGAGAAAGGCTCTATCAACTCAAGGTTAAAAGATTTCAAAGTATCAATAAAAGGAAACAATTGTATTCTTTTTCATTGATTTATTTAATAAACATTTCTTGAGTACCTAGTATATGTGGTAGAAGCTAAGGATAGAAAATCTATGAGAAATTTAAGATTTAGAAAGAGAGAGAGGCAAACAAATCAATGATTTTAGGACAGTGAGATAATATAGTATTTATGATAATATAATTCCTGGGGAGTATAAAAACATGGAAAAGAGAAACTCAGTATGGGTTGGTAAATGTTCAACAACTAGTTCTTTGGAGGAAAAAAAAGCAATTTGAGGCAGGTGTCCATTCCCCTGGTGTAAATACCTCTACTATGGATAATTTGGGGCATCAGTATGATGCCACTGAACATAGAGGTGGGAAGAAACCTGCACAATAGATTCTCAGGAGCCTGTTTGAACCAGCTCCAGCTAAACTAACTTTAAGTCAGATTAGATGTGTTATAAGGAAAGTTTCCTGAAGAAAACAACATGTGAGATGAAACTGATGAATGAGGAGGAGTTATCTGGATGAAGGTGATGAGTGGGGCAGAAAAATTGATTTCTATTAGCAGAAACAGCATGTGTATGATATGTACTTTTGCAACAAAGTGATATGTTTTTGTGAACTTAAATGGTTATGCTTAGCTATAGCAAAGTGTTGGCACAAGGGGAGAGTGGCAGGTAAACCTGGAGAGAAGGGTTTTGTGTGATAAGATGAGTATTGAACTCTAAAAAGGAGCTACATGAGGTAGAACTGGATATAACAAACCAAAAGTCCATGATTTCTGTCAATGTAGGTTTTATACACTTTGTTGAATATCTACTATTGGCCAGGTACTATGTTAAGCACTTGGCATATAAAGATAAATAAAATACAGCAATTTGTGCTCTTGAGGAAATTTCAGTTGAGTTGGAAGCTTGTTAGATGGTGGACAGATCCCTGGTAACTTAATTAATCAATAATGTCTTTTGTAGACACTTGCATCTAATCTTCACTCTTTAGTTAACCTCTGTATTTTCTGTCATTTATGCCTACCCAAGTTTCCACATTATACTTATTTATAGATCTAAATGCTTAACATTGACTACAACTCTGAGCTCAAGCCTTACATTTTTAAATTCCTACTCTATCTTTCTGATTAGTATTCTGCCACCATCTCAAAATTAACATATCTTAAACAAGCTCAGCTTTCACTAAACCAAGTCATTTTGTACTCTTCCCACTTCTAAATTCTCAGGCTTAAAAAAATAGATCAAAGTGGCTGACTAGAGGCACCCAGCACTTACTCCACAAAAAAAGACCAAAACATCAACTGGATAACCACACATTAAATGGACCTTCTAAGGGAGAACACTGGAATGAAACAAGGAAGTGACAAAAACCCCCATGAGACATGAAAACTCAGGATGGCAGTATATAGACAGAAATAAAGAAGTCAGCCAGGATTGGCTTGGAATCAAGAAGGAGTCTCCATTGAAGAGAAAAGGTACGTGAGAGATACCCAGAAGTCAACATTCCTACTACAGATGGCTGCAATCTTAGCTACAGGAGATCCCCAGAGCACTTACATTCCTGAGCCCAGCATAGAGCATTGCCTGGAGTCCATGTGACTGCATTATTTCAGAGAGGAAATTCATGCTGAATCATCCCGCCTCCAGAGCTTGGGGCAACAGAACCCAAGCTGCTGCAGCATGGCACCATATTTAGAGTGGAGCCACCAACAGAGTAAATCCTGCCTAGAGGTCCAATAGCCCCTGTATTTCCACATCACTGGGGTCCCTCTGACATCTTGCTACACCCAACCAATGGTCTACAGTATCACAACACCAGCCAGACCCAACAGTGAGGCTGTGACCCTTGGCACCTGAGCCCACACATCACCCTATGCTACTGGAAACAAACAGTCCAGCATAGCATGGAAAATTCCTCCAGGAAAGAGAGAGCTAACATGCACATACTGCAAAGCCTGAGAGCTGCCTATCTGGGGCCCACTACAACCCCCAGTGTGGACTCCACCATCTCCAGTGGAAGGGTCACCCCACATTCACATGCACTGCCTAGGGGCTTGAAGACTGTCCAGCTTGGGTCTACTGTTGTCCCCACCGCTCCACAAGTAACAGCATCCTAGGCCACTGAGGCACCTGTAGACTCTGCTGACATTGATTAAAGAAGAAAAAATCATGAAGATTACATTACTGTGCCCAGTCAGAACAAAGCCAAAGGATCCTGTCCAACTGAAACTATAGGACACATCTACAGGAAAAAGTCTTTCCTTATGAAAGGTAGTACACTAAATTGCAAGAAGCAACTGTTCCATCAGATATGCAGATATTAACATAGAAACACAAGAAACAAAAAAGCCAAGGCAACATGATATCTCCAGTGGAACACAATAATTCTCCAGTAACATATCTTCCAAAACGGAAATCTATGAAATGCCTGAAAATGAATTCAAAATAATGACATTATGGAAAGTTGGTAAGATACTAGAGAATACAGGTAAATAATTCAGTGAAATCAGAAACACAGTTCATGAGCTGAATAAGAAATGTAACAAAGAAATAGATATCATAAAGAAGAACTAAAAAAAAAAAAAAAAACTTGGAACCGGAGTATTCAATGAGTAAATAAAAAATGCAACTGAGAGCTTCAACAATAGATTAGATTAAAAAGAAGAAAAAATTTTAAACTTGAAGAAAGATATTTTGAAATAACTAAGTCTGGCAAAAAAAAATAATTAAAGAAGAAATCCTATGTGACATATTAGGCACCATTAAGCAAACATTTATAATATGGAAGTTTCAGAACAACAGGAGAAAAATGCATAGAAAACCTATTTAATAAAATAATAGCTGAAAACTTCCAAAGTCTTGTGAGAAATATGGACACTCAGATACAGGAAGCTCAAAACTCCCCATATAGATTCAATCCAAAAAGGTTTTCTCTGAGGTACATTATAATCAAACTGTCAGAATTCAAAGACAAAGACAGAATTCCAAAAAGAGCAAGGGAAAAGTGTTAAAATCTCGTATAAGGGAATCCCCATCAGACTAACAGCATATTTCTCAACAGAAACTCACAGGCCAGGAGAGAATTGGATGATATTTTTAAAGTGCTAAAAGAAAAAAACCTTTAAGCAAATACTACTATACCTGAAAAGCTATCCTTTAAAAATGAAGGAGAAATAAAGTCTCTCAGAAAAGCAAAAACTTGAAGAATTCATCTCTACTAGATCAGCGAATAAGAAATGTGTAAGGGAGTCCTACATCTGTAAGCTATCATGTTTATCATTTTTTAAAAAGCACCTTATTATTTTATTCTTTTTTTGTATTTGTGTGTCCATTTTATTTAGTTATATTTGTATCTATTTTATTTAGTTCTGTTTGTATCCATTTCATTTAGATAACAAGTACATCATGAAAACATACAAAAGTATAAAGCTCACTAGTAAAGCAGACACACAATTGAGAAAGAGAAAGGACTCAAATATTATCATTACAGAAAAACCACCAAACCACAATGATAATGAGAAAAAAGGAACAAAAGATATTCAAAATAACCAGACAATAATTAACAAATTGACAGGAAAAAAACCTCATCTATCAATAATAACCTTGAATGTAAATAGACTAAATTATCCACTTAAGAAATATAGACTTGCTGATGGACTTAAAAGAAGACCAAATTATATGCTGAAACTCACTTTCATTATTCATGAAATTCACTTCAGCTGTAAAGATCCCCATCATAAAAACAGACTTTAAGTCAAAAAACATATGAAGAGACAAAGGAGATCAATATACAATGATGAAGGGATCAATTCAGCAAGAGACCATAACAATTATAAATATATATGCCCTCAACACTGGAGCACCCAGACATATGAAGCAAATATTATTAGAATTAAAGTGATAGACACAAATACAATAATAGTTAGGGACTTCACTACCCGATCACAGCGTTGAACAAATGATCTAGATAGAAGATCAACAAAGAAGGTTAAGACTTGCAGAAACTGCACCATAGACAAAAATAGGACTAACAGATATCTACGGAACATTTCATTCAACACCTTCAGAATACATATTCTTCTCATCACATAGAACATTCTCCGGGATGAACCATGTTAGGCCACTAAACAAGTCTCAACAAATTTTTAAACATTGAAATCATATTAAGTATCTTCTTAAATCACAGTGAAATAAAACTAAAAATTAATAAGGGGAACTTTGGAAACTACGAATACAGGGAAATTAAATGTCATGCTCTTGAATGACCAATGGGTCAATGAAGAAATCAAGAAGGAAGTTTAAAACATTTTTTAAATAAATGAAAATTGAAACACAACATGCCAAAACCTTTGGGATACAACAAAAGCAGTAAAAAGAAGGAAGTTTGCAACAATAAACACACCAACATTTAAAAACTAGAAAAATTCAAGTAAGCGACCTAGTGATGCACCTCAAGGAATTAGAAAAGTAGGAACCCCAAATTAGTAAAAGAAAAGAAAGAATAAAGATGAGAGCAGAACTAAATGAAATAGAGACAAAAAAGTACAAAAGATCAGTGAAACAAAAAAGTATTTTTTTGAAAAGATAAACAAAATTGACAAACCATTAACTAGACTAAAAAAAAAGGAAGACACAACTAAATAAAAAGATAAATAAAAAAGAAATCTTCCAACTGATACCAAATAAATACTAAGAATTAGCAGAGACTACTACCTGTTAACAAATTGGAAAACCTACAGGAAGTGGATCAATTTCTGGACACACACAACCTACTAGGATGGAGCTAGAATGAAATGGAAAGCATGAAGAGGACAATAATGAGTACTAAGATCTAATCAGTAATAAAAAGTTTCTAATGAAGAAAAGCTCAAGACTGGATGGTTTTACTGCTAATTCTACCAAACTATCAAAAACTAACACCAATGCTTGTCAAATTTTTTTTTTTTTTTTTTTTTTTTTTTTTTGAGACGGAGACTTGCTCTGTCGCCCAGGCTGGAATGCAATGGCACAGTCTTGGCTCACTGTAACCTCTGCCTCCCGGGGTCAGGCGATTCTCCTGCCTCAGCCTCTCAAGCAGCTGGGATTACAGGCACACACCACCACACCTGGCTAATTTTTGTATTTTTAGTAGAGATGGGGTTTCACCATGTTGGTCAGGCTGGTCTCGAACTCCTGACCTCGTGATCCACCCTCATTGGCCTCCCAAAGTGCTGGGATTACAGGTGTGAGCCACGGAGCCTGGCCGTCAAACTATTTTTAAAAACTGAAGAACTATATATTCTTCCTAACTGTTCTATGAGCATTGCCCTGATACCAAAACCGGGCATGGACACAACAATAAAAAAAACTACTGGCTAATATCCATGATGAACAAAAATGCAAAAATCCTCAATAAAATGTTAGCCAGCTGAATTCAAGAACACATCAATAAGATAATATACCATGATCAAGTGGGATTTATCCCATAGATAGAAGTATGATTGAACATATGAAACATCAATAAATCTGATACATCACATCAATAGAATGAATGATATAAACCATATAATCATCTCAATAGATGCAGAAAAAGCATTTGTTAACATATTTTTATAACAAAAGTTCTCAACAAATTAGATATGGAAAGAACATACCTCAATACAATAAAGACCTTATATGAACTAATATTATGCTAAATGGTCAAAAACTGAAAGCTCTTTTTCTAAAAATCAAAGAACAGGACAAGACAAAGACGCCTACTTTTATCACTGTTATACAACATAGTATTGGAAGTTCTAGCCAGAAAAAATAGACAAAAGAATGAAATAAAGGGCATTCAAATAGGAAAAGAGAAAGTCAAATTTTTTTTCTTTGCAGACAACATGATTTTATGTATAGAGAAACCTAATAACTCCACCAAAACCTATTAGAACTAAGAAACAAATTTAGTAATTTCAGGGTACAAAATCAACATACAAAAATCAGTAATGTTTCCATACACCAATAATAAAATAACTAAAAAAGAAATTAATAAGGTAATCCCATTTATAATAGGTGTAAAAATAAAATGTCCAGGAATAAATTTATCCAAGGAAGTAAAAGATCTCTACAATGAAAACTATAAAAGAGTGATGAAAGAAATTGAAGAGTACATGAAAAATATAGATATTCCATTCTCATGGATTGGAAGAATCAATATTGTTAAAATGACCATAATACCAAAAGCAATCTAAAAATTCAATGCAATCCAAATTGAAATATTAATTAAATTATTCACAGAAATAAAAAAATTCTTAAATTTGTATGAAACCACAAAAGAATTCAAATAACCAAAGCAATACTGAGGAAATAGAACAAACTTGAGGACTTCAAGATATAATACAAAGCTATAGCAACCAAAACAGCATGGTATTGGTATAAAAATGAACACATAGACCAATGGAACAGAATAGAGTATGCAGCAATAAATTCACATGTTTACAGCCAATCATTTCCAACAAAGGAACTGAAGGGGAAAGGATAGCCTCTTCAATAAATGGTGCTGGAAAAACTACATATTCAGAATGTTTTATTCAGAATGCTGTCTCTTACCAAATACAAAAATCAATGCAAAATGAATTAAAGACTTCAATTTAAGGTCTAAAAATATGAACTAATCAATGAAAACATAAAGAAAATATTTCAGTGCATTAGTCCATGCAAAGATTTTATGGGTAGGATTTCAAAAGCACGAGCAGGAAAAGCAAAAATAGGGCATTCAAATAGGAAAAGAGAAAGTAAAAAATTTCTGCATAGCCGTAAAAACAATCAACAGAGTGAAGAGACAACATATAAAATGAGAGAAAATATTTGCAGACTATTCATTTTGCAAAGGACTAATATCCAGAATATATAAACAGTCAACAGCAAAAATAATAATCTGATTTTAAAATGAGTAAAGCATCTGAATAGACATTTCTCAAGAGATATAAAAATGGCTAACATGTATATAAAAAATGCTCAACATCACTAATTGTCAGAGAAATGCAAATCAAAACCACAATGAAGTATTATCTCACTCCAGTTAGAATGACTGTTATCAAAAAGACAAATAATAATAATATTTTTTATTTTCTGGTGATGTTCTTCAAAACACTGAATATAGAACTACCATATGATCCAGCAATCCCACTAGCAGGTATTTATCCAAAAGAAAGAAAATCAGTACATTGAAAAAATATCTTCATCCCCCCCATGTTTATTGCAGCACTGTTCACAATAGTCAAGATAGCTAATCCACCTAAGTGTCCATCAACAGATGAATGGATAAAGAAATGTGGTATCTATACACGTGGAATACTATTCAGCCACAAAACAGAATGAAATCTTATCATTTACGACAATATGGATGATCCTGTAGAAGATTATGCTAGGTAAAATAAGTCAAGCACAGAAGCTAAATAAGTTGATTTCATAAAAGTGGAGTGTAGAATAATGGTTACTAGAAGTTGGGAATGGTAGTGAGGAGGACAGGGTGGGGAGAGGTCGGTCAATGGATAAAAAATTACAGCTAGATAGGAGGAATAAGTTCTAGAGCTTTATAGCACTATAAGGTGACTGTAGTTAACAATAATTTATTGTATATTGTAAAGTTACTATTATAGAAAAGTGGAATTGGAATGTTCCTAGCAAAAAGAAATGGTAAATGTTTGGTTCAATTTATGTGTATGTGTCTATATGTGTGCATATGAGTGTGTGTGTGTGTATCATTTTTTACTAGAGAGGGAGTCTAAAAGTCACTTTTAGTCAAAGTCCAAAAGCAATTAATGAATTATAGGAAGTAATAGTTAAGTAGATAAATCATACTTTGAACTATTGTTTTCAATTTTCTCTACAAATATTTTAATATTAGATGTGCAATTTATTGATTAATATTTGGGAGAATTTAAATAAATATAATTTCTTTGTTATACATTAATTCTCCTGCCTTCGAACTACTCCAATCCCCTGCAGAACTAAGTAAAAACACTGACCCTGCTCATTATCAAGTCATCTGCTTCAAGGCTTGAGATTTGCTAAGCTACTGTAATGTGTTACAACATACAGCCTTGCTTTAAAGGAGGTTTCATCAACTTTTAGTAGGCTTACTGTTCATGTTTGGCTAATCCTGTAAGAGTTGAAAGATCTCAGAATTTTTACTCTCCATGCAGAAATAAAAGGTCAAAAAGACCTGTTTGGTGGTCTGGTCCTGTGCCAAAAAAAGATTACCTTCTCAGCAGCTTTGTGTGTAATTTTCTGTTTGATTTTTGAAATTTTAAATTACTGAACTTGAACCACTTGCTTTAGGAGACCATTTCAGAGAACAAATAACTGCTTGGGCTTATCCTAGTTATATATTTAAATTATAATAGAAAGTGTCTTAAGTACTAAAGGTTAGATAAATCCTGATAAACGGCAGCGATTCAGATTATCTTTGTCGAGAACGTGTTACTGATCCGCTTACTGTTAAAATTTCCATTTCAAAAATAGTGAACATTTTTTCTCTATGTGAAAGGAATACACATGTATTTACAATAAAATAAAAGCTTCTTAACTTGATAAAATTGGGCTTGAGAGTCTCCCTTCAGCTGCCCATAATTGGTGGCAAAATTTATACTTGAGCGCAAAGCAGACCATGATAATGTTGATTTTGTTGTAGTAAAGAAAATAGAAGAAGCCTAATTTTAAAATCTACGTTGGATGCAATATCCTCTGTATTGACAACTAAACTTTGATCTTTTCCTCTTGGAATTGGTTTGGTATGGAAAGCAAAAATTGTAGAGCCACTTTAGTTTGTATTTTATTTATTGCTATTGATCACTATCTTCTTCTTCTTTTTTTGGCTACCACTTTTCTGACATCTCCTGCTTCTAGTCACTTCTAGTTACATGAACAAAATGGTATGTTGCAGGTCTGTGAGCAAAACTTGAAAGCTCTTATCTTTCTGTAAGTGTGAATCTCAATGTGTCACTTGTCCTTGTGCTTTATGAGCTTTATATTATTGCCTTTACTTTTCTTTGTCTTGTTTTCTCCTTCACTTTCAGCAGTCTGGTTTCCAGTTCACTAAAATCATGTCCTTATTACCAATTTTAAGTGTATGACTCATTACTTATCCTTTCAGATTGCATTATTTCCTCCTTGAAATCACTCTTCAGATTCCAGCAGTATAGTCACCCTATTCCCCATTCTTAATCTTTGTAACTCTCAATTACCATTATTTTCTAAGAGTTTGTTTTCTTAAGACTGGTGCCAATTGCTCTATATTTTCCTATTTTTAATTGAGAAAATTTGTCAGGAGATAGCATGTAATTATAAAGACTACATCTTAGAGATAGCTTACTATGTCCAGCTCCACACAGAAATATTTTAGTGAGATCAGCTTTACATCTATACTTGCCTAGAAAGGTATCTTTTTTCCTTGTTAGTGCTTGTATTGACATTGTGGATGTTTGCCTCTGTGGCAATCATTTTTTGTGCTCATATAGCTGAACAACCTTCTTTTGAGTGAAACATTCTTTACTCAGTTATATCTGTAATATTAATTTGGTTATGATCAATTTTTGCTGGCCAAAGAATATGCCTTTATATCTACTGTGTTTGCTTTCTTGGTTTAATTATTGGAAGAAAATTCTAACCATCCTTGTTTTTCTTATGTGCTTCTAGGACTTCGGTAATCATCCATTTGATTACATATAAACATATACTTTTAAATTCATGTCATGCTATATCAAGACTAAAAATAATATGACAAAACAATATATGCGCTTCCAATTTCTCTCCTAGCTACTTCTAAGCACTTGGCAAAATGTCCTTTCCTATTTCATTTTGACATCTTTTTTTTTCCAGCTGCATAGGTATTCTCTGTACATTGGAGAAACCAGTCAATATACTTTAGGAAAACTATAGGTTGAAATCAAAGTCTGAAGTCACATCATTTGTAGTGAATTATGAAATATATTTTTAGAAACAAGACATAGCAGACACTGTGCTAGTAGAAGAGATGAGCATGTTATCATATTTGTCTCTAGTCACTCAAAGTATCATGAGAGTGGCAGATATAGAAATGAGTTATTTTAATACAGAGGAATGTATTGGAGGGGGATAGATTTGGTCCATTGCTGTGTCTGGCGGGGGTAAGGGCTTTCAAAAAGTAATATTTGAGTTTTGTGAAGAGTGAATAGGATTCTCCTGATGAGCCGGAGGAGCACACTGCTAATTGTATTTAGGGAAGCTGAGTTTGGCTGTGGATTGCAAAGCAAGAGGTGAGTGGGGGTAAAGTTGGAAAGATAAGCTATTTGTGATCCCAAAAGACCTTCACTATCCTGATTGGGAATCTTAACATCTTCCGGTAGGTAAATGAAAGCCATGAAGACTTTTAAGCAAAGGAGCAATATAACTTATTGTTACATATGTGTTTGGCTTTGGGAATAGTTATCTGGACACTAAAGAAGGTAGCTTGAAGAAGAGTCAATCTGGTAGCAGGAAGGCCAGTTATAAGAGTGTTGGGTGGATTAAGTCAGTGATGAGTGTTTAAGTTATAATGGTGGTGAAGAAAAGGCATCGGATTTAAGGTATATTTCTAGAGAAAACTGTATGAGACTCAGTGAAAAATTTGCTATGAAGAAAAAGAAAGATGGGATAATTATGAATTCCATAGCTTAGGAAACTAGTAAGTGGAGATGTCTTTAACAAGATAGAAGAAAACTGTGAGTGGACACAGTGAAAGTATATCTCTTCCTTTCACTAACAGGGAAACAGTAGACAAGTTAGATTTAATCACTGTTTTTCAGTATGACCACATTGTGCCATTCAGGAGGCAATGCAAATGTAGGGTTAGAACTTCGGAGAAAGATAAAAGCTGGAGACATAGATGTGAGAGAGACCATAGCCCACTGAAGCTGACTTCAACCAGAGAAAGAGAGCCTGTCGATAAAGAGAAGTTAAGAGGTTCAGGAACGGTAAGAATACTGTTCTTGGTATGACAAAAGGGGTTTTGTTTGGGAATGAATTGAGAGATTTAAAGACATTCCATGGATATTAGGGAACATTTATGAAACCAGACGTTTTAGAAATTTCTGGACATGTCCTGCTGTATGGTTGAGACCAATCAGTAAAGGGATCTCCACCCCCATCCCCTGTCACTTCTTGACCTTGGTCTTGCATTCCTCAGTCAAGTAGTGTAGTTATTTTATTTGTGAAAATTGTCATGAGAGTTATTAATCCATCATACCCTCTGGCCCCTGACACTCATTTACTTTTACTATTTCTAAATTTTGCCACTTAGTTTTTGAATTTTAAGGCTTGTGCTTCTTAATTTCTTTAGTCTAATAATAAACTTTCTTTTCCATCAACTTCTAACTCCTCTGCTCTTTCTCTTTTGACACCACTTTGAAAATGATCCTCACCCTTTATAGTTTTCACATGTCCATCTGTTGCTCTTTGCAGCAGATTCCTTTCCTGGCTTCAGAGTACTCTTTCAACATCCTTCTGTATATCTTTATATATCCTTTGTCCTTTCCCTTGACTCCATCTGAGCAGCCATTCTCTGTTTGTTTGCTTCATCTGTTAAAGTCTTGCCTAAACTTTATCCCACTATCCCCTTTTGTTAGAATAATGTACTGGTCTTTCTCAACCGCCTTTTAATTTAAACATCCTTTTTAAAAAGTTATTCCTTAATTTGTCTCATAGCACACCTTCATTTACCCAAGGTACTGCTTCTGAGAAAGGAACTATCACATTTGAACATTTGTCCAGCATAGGGTGTACACTTCTTGAAGAAAAGGATTTTTTTAAATATTTATATGTCCTTATATTTTGGATTTTTAAAATCTTTTAATCTATAATGAATAGAATTTTAATTGAGAAAGATTTAAAACTGATGTTTCTATAATTCTATAAGTTCTGGTACTTCACCATAAATGTATGCATATGCATTTTTCTTATGGAGATGATTTATGATTTTAGCTAATTCTTAAGGGTGTCCAAGATGACAATAAGCATGCCTATGTAAGGATTTAAAGATCAAGATCTTACCTTCAACTTATACAAGGAATAAATATGGTTAGATTTTTATATGAACTTGGAAATAATCCATGTATGATTAATATCATTACTTTTCTTCCTTAACCTGTCTGGTTTGTGTTAATATTACATTTTATTAATTTACTTATCATATTCAACAGGACCCAGTGCTTATAGACTATCTTTTTGTAATGTTAGCTGTTTTGTAAAGATTTTGAATGTAGCTCTTCTTAAAGTTGTTCTTTGGGAAACCTTTTTTTATTTTTTCCAAAGAACAAAATCTGAAACAGGGAAACAGGAGCTTCTGGCAGTGTAGAAGTAAAGCATGTAATTTTCTAGCCATTCAGTTGCTACCTATCCTGCCACCAGAGATTCAGTCTAATTATACTCACTGATCTGAGCTAGCCATAGAGAGAGACATGATGTATGTGAAAGGGGAGGTCCTTTGAAGAGTTAAAGCAATCTTTCTTTAAAAGCTAGCTCTGTCTTTGCCTTGATGCATGCTTTAACTGCTCCTTCCTGCCCATGATGCAAACCCAGATTCCAATAAAGTAGGTGACAGAGTGGAAGCTGAAGGTACTAACATTAATCAAAAGGAAGTCTAATTTTTCTATCCTTCAGTTCCACCAAGTGACAGGGTGATTTTTACTTTTCTCTTCAAGAATTCTAATATGCTGGGTGACTTTTAGGGTTCGCCTTTTTTTCGAAGCATCCCGGTGTCATACCGACAAATGATCATATTATCTGCAAGATGCCAGGATTTGGATCATATATGCACATCTGGTTAATTTTTTTTCCAGTGTAGGGACACTGGACCCAGTGTCCACCTGACTCAGGTGATATGGGGCTAGTGTTCTTTTTATTGACCCTATGAAATTAGGTAGTGATTCTGTGTTTCTGAATAAGTGTCAAAGGCTCCCATGGTAATCAACTTTTCTGACATTGATATAGATACTAAATGTTCATTTTTGTGGATTTTAACTGTTTTCTCACTCCTTCTTTTAGTTTGTATAAATACAATATTGAGAAAGTGATGTTACATGTAGTTAGATAAAATGAATGTTTTTTGTGTAATTGGTTATGATTTTGGGGCAGTTACAATAACTTAGTTGAAGTTCCTTTTTAGAATAGAAATAAATTTGAATTGTAGAAATGCTTCTTTTGCTCCAGGCCTCGAGTAATACCTCTGCAAGTGAAGCCATAATATAGCGAAGTTCATATCTTAATTGTATGTGCAATTGTCTTTTAGCACAAATGATGGAGTCATTGCTTTATAAAACAATGCTTATTTTATTATTCTTTGAATTAAGTTTGAAAACTTTCTTCTTATTAGAAATTGTTTGTTTACTTGCTGAATGCAGAAAATCTTCCTGTAACCTCCAAATTTAGGGCCCAGATTGTTTGAATCTAGAGACTTGAGTCAACACTCACCACTGCTCCCTGCTTTTTGCCTCTTTTCATTATGCCAACTGGAGCAAATCATCTCTCCTCCTTCAAAGTATTTCTGACCTCCCCACCACATACTATTTCCTACATTACTTTTATTATATAAATATACTCTTTAGACTTTTCCTAAACTAAAAGGAGTTATGGTAGGCAGTGTTAGAGGTGTATTAATTCCCCAGTGCTGTGTAACAAATGACCACAAACAGTGGCTTTGAAACAACATGCATTTATTGGCTCACAGTTCTGTTCGTCAGAAGTTCTACACAGCATGGCTACTTTTTAGGTCAGCTTCTCTCAGACTTGAAGTCCAGATATCAGCTAAAATGAATTCATATCTACAGACTTTGTTGAGAAAAGGGTGGGAGGAAGAAAAACCCCCAGCTGTTTGGAACTCACTTTTATTGGTATTCAATTCCTTGAGATTGTAGGCCTGAGGTCCCTATTTCCTTGCTTGCTGTCAGCTAAGGGATATTCAAAACTGCTAGAGGTCCCCACATTCCTTGCCATGCAGCCTCTTCCTTCTTTAAGGATCAAGGGTGCTTTGGAATCACCTTGGCTTCTCTGCCACTGACATCTAGGTTAATATTTAAAGGGCTCTGTGATTAGGTTAGACTCCCCCAGATAATCTCCCTATATTAAACTCAAATGATTCTGGTCCTTAATTATATCTGAAAAAAATCCCTTCACAGCAGTACTTATATTAGAGTTTGAGTGTATAAGTGGGAGAAGGTATGTATAAACCAGAAGCTGTCAGAATTCTGCCTATCACAGATGACTTGCCCATTAGCCACTCCTAATCCATTTCTTCCATGCCATACCAAGTATAGAAATAGAAAGCTGCATAACCTGTTTTCCAGCCTCCCTCCAGGTAGGGTGACTGGTTGACCCAGTTTTGACCAATAAGATATTAAGAAGAAACTGACTAGGAGTCAACTGAGAAACTTGCTTTCCTGATAAAATGAACAGATCCCTGGAGATTTTCTTCCTCCCTTCTTACTGTATGGAATTTGGGTTTGATACTGGAGCTGCACTGGTCATCTGGTGACCATGAAGTGATACACATGTATACAATGCCATCTTGGTAACAGCTGTACACATTTCTCATGGGGCAATTGGTGATGTTCTTGTTTGATAAAACAATGCTGTGGGAAAGAAGCTAGGAAGAGAGCCCTCACTATAATCTGACCATGCTTCACCCTGATCTTGGACTTCCAGTCTCCAAAACTATAGGAAAATAAATTTCTATTGCTCATGCTACCCATCCTATGGTATTTTGTTATGGAAGCATGATTTCACTAAGACACTTTATTAAAAATGGGATATATAGCATAACAGCACTGAAATATTGATGTTAAAATAGAATTCTGCAATGAGAAATTTTCCTTGCAGATACTAGAATCTTGATTGAAATATTCTGATAGTATCCCCTCACCCCAGACATACTAACATTTAGAAATGTATTATAACTTTGGATTCATAAACATAAGAAAAGATGGAGAGTTATTAAAGCCATACTAGAGAACTAGAACGATACACATTGAGTATGCAACACATTATAAAATGCATTAAAGTTCTCATACATACTTCCAGTTCATCTTTAAGAGGTACAGTAAAATTCCTCTGTGTGTGCTAAGGAGGACAGTCACTATTATGGTTCAAACTGGGTTTCCCATATGTTGTTAAGCTCAGCTGCTCATCTGTGGTTTGTGATACCACGATTGTATCATGCCTGTAAACCCAGGATGGTCACTTTTTTTTTTTTTGTCGCCCAGGCTGGAGTGCAGTGGCACGATCTCGGCTCACTGCAAGCTCTGCCTCCAGGGTTCACACCATTCTCCTGCCTCAGCCTCCCGAGTAGCTGGGACTACAGGCGCCCGCCACAACGCCTGGCTAATGTTTTGTATTTTTTAGTAGAGACGGGGTTTCACCGTGTTAGCCAGGATGGTCTTGATCTCCTGACCTCGTGATCCGCCCGTCTCGGCCTCCCAAAGTGCTACTTGTTTGTTTTAAATGTTGTTTTGTTTCTCTATTACAAAAAAAAAACAAAAACCAACAACAAAAAAACTGCTGGGGAGATGGTCAAGATGGCCGACTAGAAGCAGCTAGTGTGTGTGGCTCTCATGGAGAGAAATGGAAGGGGTGAGTAAATACAGAATCTTCAACTGAAATACTCACATTGGGACTAATCAAGAAAAAACTCGACCTATGGACAACAGAGAAAAGCAAGCCAGGACAACGGCCCACCCAGGGGACAACACAGAGCCAAGGGAACTTCCCCCTGCACAG